>NC_000003.12:171432846-171584361 GCF_000001405.40 Homo sapiens
TAATTTCATGTAATGACCAATTTAATGCAAAAGGCTAAAAGCATCCTTGAAAAACAATGAGTTGTACTTAATATCTTCACATTTTAATTTAAAACAAAAAATAAGAAGCATATAATATTAAATTGATATCAGATAATATAATGTATTTTTAATCTATAGCATCAAATTGAATTAACAAACACTGGAAGGATGAGGTCAGTGTAGGAGAAATAAAATTTAACTTGACTCTTTTTTATGTAATGGGGACATTAAAGGATTCCTTTTTTAATTAATTTGCATAATTAGAGAACTACAGGTTTAAGTATATATTCAAATTGGATTTTTGAAAACAGTCTATATAGAAAAACAAAGAAAACACTAAAGAAAGTAGAATAAATAAAATGAGAAGAGATCAAACACATCATTTATGGCTGTAAAACCAAATGGTTTAAATTCCTCCTTTAAAAGAAACCTCTTACATTGGGTTCAAAAAGTAAATCTTACTATATATGCTGCTTTCAAGTGATACAGCAAAAACAAATCAAGACAAATTATAGAAAGAAAAGGAAAATCATACATAATTGAGCAAACACAAAGTAAAACAAACAAAACACCTTATGAAACCAGATGTAATTCTTAGGAAAAGTCATTACCTGAAACAGAGTGCTTATATTAATAAAAATCAAAATCTACTGTGTATAACTGTTAAAACTTTTATGCGGCAAATATTGCATCACAGACACAGAACACACACACAGACATACACACACATGCACATACACGTGTGCAACAAAAACACAAATTATAACAGCAGATTAAAAAGCTATTCTTATCTGATATTTCCAAATAAAATTTAAAATAATTTTTTCAGATCCTAAAACAAATTCCTGCTTGATATTTTTATTGAAATTCCATATTAATATGGGAATAATATTACTAAATTTTCCTATTCAGAAACATGAGATATTTTTGCATTAATTCAGGCCTTTAGTATGTCCCTTGTTAGGTTTTAATTTTTTCTTCATATAAGTCCTGCAGATTTCTTATTACATTAATTTCTAGATATTTTACACTTATTATTATTAAGAATATCTGTTTTCTTTTCTTTTTCCTTTTTTTTTTTTTTTTTTTTTTTTTTGAGACAGAGTCTCACTCTGACACCCAGGCTGGAGTGCAGAAGCATGAGCTCAGCTCGCTACAACCACCACCTCCTGGGTTCAAGTGATTCTTGTACCTCAGCCTCCCTAGTAGCTGGGATTATAGGTGCCCAGCTAATTATTTTGTATTTTTAGTAGAGGCAGGGTTTTGCCATATTGGCCAGACTGGTCTCGAACTCCTGACCTCAGGCGATCTGCCTGCCTTGGCCTCCCAAAGTGCTGGGATTACAGGTGTGAGCCACCATGCCTGGCCAAGGGTATCTTTTTTCAAATATATTTTGTAATTGATTGTTTTTCTTGGCTCACAAAAATACTATTGATTTGGGTATATTTATTTTGTATCCAGCCACATTGCTGAATTGTTATTGTTCTAATATATCTTTAGTTGATTCTCTAAGTTTTTGAGGTATCATCTGTAAATGATGACAAGGTTGTCCCTGTCATCTTGTAACTCTTTTTTACTTATTTATTTATTTATTTATTTATTTTTTTTGAGACAAAGTCTTGCTCTGTTGCCCAGGCTGGAATACAGTGGTACCAGCATAGCTCACTGCAGCCTCAAACTCCTGGGCTCAAGCAATCTTCCTACCTCAGCCTCCTGAGAAGCTAAGACTACAGGTGCATACCACTATATCTGGTTAATTTTTTAAAATTGTTTTTAGAGACAGGGTCTTTCTATGTTGCCCAGGCTGGTCTTGAACTCCTGGCCTCAAGCCATCCTCCCACCTTGGCCTCCCAAAACACTGGAATTACAGACATGAGCCACTGTGCCTGGCCCTCATCCTCTTATAATTCTTGTTTCTTTTATGTCTTGCCTTTATTCAATGGCTAACATTTCCATTACATTATATATTATTATTGGTTATTATCTGATTCCTGACACCTTGATATCATCCCTCACTTTAAAAAGAACATGCATTAATTAGGATGTTTGCAACTGCAAGTAAAAAAAAACACACAACTGAGAGTGGCTTAAACAATGTGGAAATTGTATTATCTATATAATATGAAGACTGGAGTCAGGCCAGTTCCAGGGTTGATTAATTCAGATGCTCAATAATGTAGGGACCTGATACGTTTATTCTGTGATTCTCCTGGCTTTCCCCTCATGGTTGTCAGATGGCTGGAGCAAACCTAAGTATCACAGTCTTTAGATAATATCCAAGTCCAGGATAGGGAAGATATCTTTTTACATATTTACTTGTAAAAGAAAGGAAAGCCTTCCCAGGAACCCCCAGTGAGGCTTCCTCTGGCCTTCTTATTGGACAGGTTGTGTTGCATGACTTGCTTAAGCCAATCATCAACAAAAAGAATGGAATCCCAATGACTGGCTTAATCTATTCTACCTCCCCCATGCTGGGGAAGTGGAGGTCAACTTCCTCTGAGAATGTGGAAAGGTAAACACCAAAACACATCCAGAGCTCTGTGAGAAAGAAAAAGGATGGGGATGACTGCCGGGTAGGGAACCAACAGTGTGCACCACAGAGAGTCTCTGGTGTTTAAAGGATAGGTACAGGGATGACTATTGGTTTTAGACATATTATCAAGTTAAGAAAGAATGTCCTTAATCCTAGTCTATTAAAAATAGTTTTTGCTTTGTTTTTTAATCAAAAATAACTGCTAAGTTGTACCCCATACCTTTTTGACATCCATTGAAATGATCCCATAATTAATGTCCTTTGGTCTACTAATATGTTGTATTAATAGACTTCCTAAGACAGAAATAAGGGGGCTTACATAGCATTTTCTGTGTTTTCAGTTCCATACTGTTAATTAGCAATTTTTAGGGTTTTTCATACAAAGCAAGAAACACACATTATTGCTTATTAATAAATAATACTTCACATATAAAAAGTTTCCAGATCCTAAGCCAGAAAAATTGAAGAGGGAGAAATGAATCAGAGGGTGACAGGCAAGAAAGACAGACAGAACAACTCAGACATGAAGTGATATGGCTTGTTCTGGAGTGGGGGCAGTAGGGCAGGAAAGCATGGAAGGAACACAAAGCTTACTTCTAAGACACAACACATGCAGACTTAATCTATATCAATATTTTACATCAATGGCATTCTCATCATAGCATTGGGAATCACTGAGAATTGCTTTAAGTTATTTCAGCTCCATGAAACTCCCACTCCTGACCTTCCCTCCATCTGGTCCACTTCCCTCCATCTTCCCCACTCCTATACAGCTAGCCATCTACCCTGGTGCTCTGACAATACTCTTTATCTATTTTTACATCTGTTTTTACCACTACACTTTGAACTTCTTGGAGGCAGAACCTAATACCTTGTAAACCTACATATACCCAGTTGCTTGCACTGCACCAGATTCAGAGTAGGCTCTCAAATTGTTTGCAAGAGTGATGCTGATGTTGAATGTATTGAACATTTATTGTGTATTTGCAACATGGCAGGCACTGTCATAAATACTTAACATAAAATATGTCTTTTTAATTCCAGCAATAGTCCTATGTGTACTGTTATTGTTACCTCCATTTCATAGGTGTAGAAAAGTGTAGGGATTTTACATAACTTGTCACAAGCTGCAAAGCTAGTAAGCTATAGCACCAAGATTCAAATCCAGAGAGTCCAACCCCTGATGTAATCGTAAGTCATTTTCCTTCCTGTGACTTTGAAAACAAATGAGATAAGCCAGAAGCTCACAAATGAGCCCAAATTATTTCATGGTCACCTTTTATACACGTTACTCTCTGAGGTGCCAAAAACGTTCTGGCTAAATGCTCTGCCAAGGTGTCATCTGGGGAATCCTAACCAGACACTAGAGGCTATCATCATTCATTTACATGCCTTGATTTTCAAAAGACTGAGAACAGGTTGAAGATTTGAACATTGCAGCACAAATCTGCATCAAACAGACAGTGTATCTACCTTTCATCCCCATCCCCAGCCTCACACAGAGCCAGTGCATTTGCCCCCTTGGATCATTTGGCGAGGCTGTCAAGAACCTTAACACCCCTCAAAAAGAATGAAATCAAGCACAGCGGCATCTGTGCCAGTTCCTCTCTTTTTTTATTACTGCCCCCAAAGCCTATAAAAGCTTGGAATCTATTAATTCTTTCTTTATAGCTGGAATGTCTACTCATTATTATCTGAGAAAGGAAGAGTCAATTTAATACATTTGATTTCAAAGATTCTATCCAGTGAAGTCATAGTTCATTGCAGTCATATCAGCTGATTACTGTAAAGTGCAACAGTCTGCATTTGTAAAGGAAAAAAGCACCCAAGCTTAGTAGGAGGTACACAGTAGAGAACGTGGGAGACATCGGGATAGCATTTGCTGCTGAACTGCATTTTGCAGACCTGACCACCCCTTCCACTTTGCTCTGTTCCAGGAATGCCATTTAACTGTCATGGGCCTTATCCCCCTATAGCTGTAGGATAACCACAAGAGCCAGTGAGCACTCACTAAAGCTAATCAATATTTAGAAGCTAAAAATGAAACGAAGAAACACACAAATGCAAGCATAGGCAGGGGAGGCTTTTACCCTGTGCCTCCAAGACCTATGTCTAAGCTAATACATGCAACTGCTTCTGGGATTTATGGCTGCATTTATTCAAACCCTGTAGCCTCTGAAGAACAGCTCATCCTCTCCTTCCATATTAGATTGGACCAGCCAGAGGCAGGCCCTTCTCTGCCAACAGTCAGGGAGGTGAGAGTAAATCTGCCACCATGTAGATTCCATCATTCTCAACTCCTATCAGGTAACTGAAATCCACCTATAATCTGTCACCCATGCCAAGGCCATGTTTGAACTTCATTTGATGCCCTGTGTTAGAAAGAATCTTTCTTGCTCACATGCTTCTTAAAAGCAGAATTAGATGGCTCCAGATGACTTAAACAAAAATCTGAGGGCCTACAATGTGCCACTAATGACAGGTGCTGAGGAAATCCGGGGAGTTGATAACCAGCTAATCAGCTAGCTAGCTATCCACGCCATGAGGCGGCAAAATGTCTTTTCCCATACTTTCCTGTTAGCCACTGGGGAAGCTGCCCCACAGACAGTGCTTTTTAGAGTGCATAGAGCAGACATGGGAATATAACTGCTGCACCTGCACAGTGACTTGTCGCCAATAAAAATTCACCTGTGTCTCATTTATTGAGCCTGTACTTATAAAGAGGTTTATAGTCTGTTGTCTTAATGAACCACTTTAAAGTCTAAAGGGGAGATAGAAGAGCAATGAGTAGAGGCCATTTCACCATCTCAGGGCCCTCTCAGTTTCTTCCCCTTGCATAGCACCTAGGAGGTTTCTAACAATGCAAGCATTAAGACCCACAGCTGCCTAGGACACAGGTCTTTCCATTTCCCAGGGGTCCTGCACTTTGTTAAGGTTTGGTTTCCCAGAATCACAATCCCTCCTCTTAAAGGCTAAAAACACATGAAATTGTATTTTCACAACTGCATAGCAAGTCGCCTGTCCACTCAGTTATAGTGGGGATGCAGGATCCAAACACGATGACTCCCAGAAGACACGTCCTGGTGAATTACGTGTTAGGCACACTGCAGAATGCAAATGTAAACAAGTCACTTGAGAAAGTGTCTTAAGTTCCTGCCCTTAAGAAGCTTATAATTTAAATACACCAATGGCTTGTGGACAAATCATTCTGAAGCAAAACAGAGATGCAGGTGATAAAAAGTGTGAACAGAGCAAGGCAGAAAAACAAAAGTAAGGATTAACATTAACCAGGGGACCTAGATGATGAACCAAACCTCCCTGATATGTTTTTCATAAGAAAGTGTCTTAGTAACAGGGGTTTTGTGGCTCGATCAGGTTAACAAAAGGAAGAGTGTGTGGGTTTCCAGCCCTGTCCAACCACCACTTGTGGTGGGATCAGAATTTGGACTCCACGCTCCAGGTTCAACCCCAGCCTCATTCCAACCCTGTCAAGCACATTTCTAATCAAAGTTTCAGAGTCCTATGTCCCTCCAAAATCAGAAGTACAGTTCCCCAGAGAGCAGACAGTAGTTCTACCATTAGAAAAGCATTCCCACTATTTATTTAGAAAATGGGAAGCAGCAATAGCACAATGCTTACATTTCATGTTTTAAAATCGGACTAGCCAGGCACAGTGGCTCACGCCTGTAATCCCAGCACTTTGGGAGGCCGAGGCAGGCGGATCACAAGGTCAGGAGATCGAAACCATCCTGGCTAACATGGTGAAACCCTGTCTCTACTAAAAATTCAAAAAATTAGCTGGGCATGGTGGTGGATGCCTATAGTCCCAGCTACTTGGGAGGCTGAGGCAGGAGAATGGCATGAACCCGGGAGGCGGAGCTTGCAGTGAGCTGAGATGGTGCCACTGCACTCCAGCCTGGGTGACAGAGCAAGACTCTGTCTCAAAAAAAAAAAAAGAAAAAGAAAAAAAATTGGACCAAACTAGGTTCAAAAACTGGCTCCATCATTTTCAATAAATCACTTAACCTAAGCCTCACTTTCCACATCTATAAAATTAGAATAGTATATATCACAAGATGTGGCTGCATTAATAAGACTAGACTTTTATTAAAATAATTAACCCAGTGCTTGACACGTGGCCAGTGGTCACAAAGTATATTAGCTATAAATATTGGTATTAAATTTTGTTCTTTCTCATCTCCCACTGCTTCAATCGACTAGCCTAAATGCATGTGTATTACTATTATTATTATATAAATTACACTCCAGATCAGTGTCAGGTACATCCACATGTTGGTGTGACCTGAGACTCTATCCTAGCCACATTTCAGTATAGTTCTTGGAACTGCAAAGCTTAGGACCAAATCCTGGACCACAAATTCCTCGCTGAAAGTCTTGCCCTAACCAAGGCCAGCATGTGCCACTGGCCTGTGCCACCCACCCACCTGGCCCTCACTCAACACCTAGCACACACAGCCCTCAGAAGCTCAGCATGTGCTCAGTTTCCACTGGTTTCATGAACATTCTACTCTTGTCTCCCAGCTGCTCCGAGGGAAGGGCCATACTCTCCCCATTACTCAACCTCACTGTGGCACATGGTAGAAGCCTGCACAGTTTTCCTGTACATAATATGACAGTGTCCATGATTTTTCTCTCCCTCTGTTTTTATGATAGCCAAGACCATGCTAGGCTGGGCGAATGACCACAATGATTACTGGAGCTGAGCCTCCACCCAGTTCTGCAGACTCTTAAGCCCTCTTCCTTTCTCCACATTTCCTAGAGGGTATTCTCAAGGCCATGGTGGCTACTGCAGTTTCCAGCAACTCATTCCTCCTTGATTACTGCCCCTTTCCTTCCCTCGCCATCATAGTAATGGTGAGTAACAGTAACAGTAAACATAGGAACATTTTTCTACTCTATTCTAATTTTTTTTCAAAATCTGATTGCAACCCATTAAACTCACTCCACAACCCATTACAATTTGAAAAACACCTGGTATCTGTGATTCCAGGAAGATGACATGCTAAAAGGAGCTCTGATCATTTGAGAAAAGGAATTCCCCAACTTTGTGGGAACAAAAGAGCTGAGCTCTAGGGGTAACAGTGGAGGAAATAAAGTGTATGGAGGTGGAATGGGGTGGTAGTTACTGATACTGTAGAAAAATAGGGAATGGTTAGATCATAGAAGGTCTTGCTAAGTTAAGGAGTTTAGCCTATGCTGTAAGTCACGAGCAGGCATTCATTTCATTAATAAATGGATACAAGGATACACAAAACATAGCTTGCCTTTGTGGAGCTTATAGTCTCTTCTGCAGGAAGAGGGTGTGGAGGGAGACAACCAAATAATTTGTTAACAAATGAACAAATGGCACATTATGATAGGGGCTTGGGAAGAGTTTCAGGCAGCAGGAACAGTGTGCATAACAGCATAGAGGTGAGAAAAGCATGGAACATTAAGAAAACAGAAAGAGTTAGTAAGGAATGGTTTTAGACAGGAATAGCTCTCCCAGTCCTGGCCCCAAAGTCCTTTCTCTACAGGAGGAATAAGTTATTTGAGCTACCTTATCTTGAAGGAAATGATTATCGTTATGTTTGTAAAATATGACAAGCGCTTCAGAATAAAGAATGACACGAAAATACGTAGAAAGCAGAAGATAGGATCAGAGAACCCATCTATCTCTCCAGGTGTTGAAGAGATGGCCTTCCTAGAAATATCACAGAGACCTGACTAGGAAATTTGCCTTCACGGTGTGTGGAGCTGGTCAACTATGAAGCAGTGTCTCAGGCATATTATACTTTAACACCTTTATTGAGGTACTTACATACCATAAAATTCACTCAGGTTACCACCATCCAATATTGAAGCATTTTCATCACCCAAAAAGATCCCTCCGGCCCATTTACAGGCACTCCCTGTTTTCCTCTCCACCCTAGCCAACCAGTAATCTACTTTCTACCTCCGTAGATTTGCATTTTCTAGACATTTCATATATACAGAATCATACAATATGCAATCATTGTGTCTGGCTTCTTTCACTTAGCATAACATTTTGAGGTTCATGCATGCTGCAGCCTGATTCAGTACTTCCTTCATTTTTATTGCCTAATAGTATTCTATTGTATGAAAACACTACACTTTGTTTACCTATCCATCAGTTGATAGACATTTGGGTGGTTTCCATTTTTGGGCCACTGTGAATGATGCTCCTCATGAACACTCCTGTACAAGTTTCTGTGTGGACCTATGTTTTCATTTCTCTTGGGTACATACGCAGAAGTGGACTTGCTAGGTCGTGTAGTAAGTTTAACTTTTTCAGAAATAGCCAAACTGTTTTTCAAAGTGGCTGAGTTATTTCATAGACCCACCGGCAATGTATGAGAGTTCCAGTTTCTGCATATTCTTAGGTATATTTTTAAATTCAGATTTACATGTATTGTGGAGGAAGCATCCCCTGGATAAAGGTTTGACTTTATCAAGTCTGTGAAGTGCAGAGTTCACATGATCTCACAACTTATGCACATTCCAAGTTTCACTTAAATGTACTTAAAAAATTTTGAGAGCTGTCCATTTGAAAACATGGTTGAAATAATTCAGTATAAAAATGCGATACTAAACAACCAAGTAAATATAATGATCATAGAAATTTTAACCAGAATATTTGTCAAAGGGGAGTTATTAAGGAACCATGCAACTCAAATAAAAATGTTCCTTGCAAACTAAACAAAATCTCCACAGGGACAAAATCCTGATTGTGAATCCTGCAAACCAGCAGCAACTTATAGAAGGCAGCAGCCACACGGAGGAAACAGGAAAGAAGGACAGGGGATTATTTTTTTAAATCTGATGCAACTTGCATTGTATCAAGTGATGAGATACAAGAGACCTTGCTTCCAGAAAAGAAAAGAAACAGACCTGGCCTCAAAGGGACAGAGAACTTAATAGTCACAGGAATGTCCCTGCTGCTTTGAATACCCCCAGGTACTCTTTGCAAACATACACACTAATTAAAGGGGGTTGGGGGACTGAACTGGCAAGAGCTTTGGTTCAGAGATCACAGAGGGACACCCAGCCTTCAAACCCCTTCAACAGACTCTTTCAATCTAGAAAGCAAACCCTGTATCTGGGGCTCGGATCTCTGTATCTCTCTAAGATTTATTTTAAGTATCATACATATTTCACTGAATGTCTACGATTTCCTCTCTTCATAGAGAGGCTTCCTCCTGAAGAAGGACCCTTTTTGTTTCCAGTGATGAGGACCTATAATAATTATCCACTGGCACTTTTTCTGGTGCAATCAGTGAAATGGAGGTTTAGGTACCCAGCTGGTCAGGTTCCAGCAGATTTCCCATGCTAATTTTCAGTCACTCAAAGAAAACAAAGGAAAAACTAAGATTGGTTTACCATGATTTTAAAGAAATACTGTTCCTCTTCCCTTTCCCCCTCCCCCAAAATGTGTAAACTTCTATATTTCACACTTTTACATCTGTTCTTCTCCCAAAATAAAAGCTGTTTATATTCAAGAAATGATGGCTACAATACCAGCACAAGTTACATCTTTAAAATACTCCCAGAGAGAATATACATATTGTTCAGACAACAGAGTGTCTGTGCAATGTTCTTTCCCTGAATAGCATCTGGGTATTGGCTCTAGAAAGCACTACAGCGCTTTATTTGTTTATTTGTTTGCATGGAAAGAAAACTGAGTACTCTCTAACTGGTGCTGGAGCTACCAATTTAAAGAAGACAGAAGAAGCAGAGGCCTTTTAGGAAGAGCAAATGCTTAGTTTTGACTCTGTCAACCATTCCAGAGTAAGACACCAGCAACAGAACCACCTGGTTCCACTGCTACCCAGAGTATCCATGCTCTGAAAGTCTTGGAGCTCAATTGAAAAATCGCAGCACTCCCAAACTCAAAGGGCCCTTTCAACCACGCCAATTGCAACATATATTATCTCAAGCGTTGGAGGAATCAGATAAACAGGCTGTGAAAAAGCCATTTCAAATTTGTAGCTTTCTTAGACAGAGTCTATGATTTCACCACCACTAGAAAGGAAACTGCTCCAAACTTAGTTCCAGACGGAAGTTTTCAAATGATGTCATTCATTGTCCCATCTAGAGCAGTTAGTATTCCCGATTTAAAGGCTTGAACAGGGCCCAGCACACTGGCTCCTACCTGTAATCCCAGCACTTTTGGGAGGCTGAGCCCAAGAGTTTGAGACCACGCTGGGCAACATAGGGAGACCCCCCATCTCTACAAAAAAAAAAAATTTCAAAAAATTAGCTGGGTGTGGTAGCACACACCTGTAGTCCCAGCTCAAGAGGCTGAAGTGGGAGGATCACTTGTACCCAGAAGTTTGAGGCTACAGTGAGCCATGATTGAGCCACTGCACTCCAGCCTGGGCAACAGAGCAAGACCCTGCCTCAAAAAATAAAATAAAAATAAAATGCTTGAACAATTCCCTGATACTTTAATGATATTAACACCTCTTCTGAGAAAACTGGAGCTATCCCTCTAAGTGTCAATACTGGGAAAAACCTAATAATCTTTAACCAGGTATTTTTTATATCTAGTCTGATGATGATTGTCTAACCATCGGTTTTTCCTTCAAAATAGTTCTTCTATGAGGGGAGGTCTTCAAATTTACATTTTTAAAAGCATTTTCCCCAGCAATGAGTATAAAATTTTCATGCACGCTCACTATCAGTTGTATATAAAGTTGCTTTAACAACCATACTTGCCATCAACTTTTCCTCCATATAAACAGACATGCAATATAAGCAATGTGCTTATCTAAGAACTGTGGATTAAATAGCAACATGGGACACTTTTGTGGCTAGGTAAGAGATGCTTACAAGTTGTTGTTACAAAGAAAGTCTGTGGGATTTCCCAGTAAGGAAATCTTCAACCTGCTGTCTAGATTCCAAATATACATTCCATTTCCCAGGTCTCAAAAAATAAATAACTCGAAGATTTTAGGCTTCTAACAGAAGTAGGGCTGAAAGAATTTGTGAATATGGATTCTTTCTTTCAGTTTCCAAGCAAATGTCAGCACCTCCTGGGGCTTCAAACTCAATCCCTACAGGCCTATAGGGAAAAACAGGAAATCGACATCAGAAGGATGCATCTTGTTGATCAAGGGAGTGGGGCTTTTCTGCACCTTGAATAAACTTGCTAAAAAAAAAAAAAAAAAGAAAAAGACATGTCAATGCAAAGAACAATGCAAAGTACAGAATTATCAATTGAAAGTTGTAGACTTTTCAATTTCAAGTATCTTTGAGTCTTACAAACAATTCAAATGCAAATATTAGTAAAAAAATTTTAACTTCCATACTCCTAAGAATGTGTACTGTCCACAATTTCTCTGAGGTCATATGCCTTATGAAAAAGTTGCACTTACCATAAATAATTTACTATTTCCTATTCTGCAACATTTTCAGGCATACCCAAATTTCCATGAATATATTTTGCTTTTCTTTTTTATTTTATTTTATTTTATTGAGATATGGTCTCGCCATGTTGCCCAGGCTGATTTCACACTCCTGGGCTCAAGTGAAGCTTCCACCTTGGCCTCCCAAAGTGCTGGGATTACAGGCATGAGCCACCATGCCCAGCCAAGGAAACTATCTTTTAAACATTTAGGCCAGTGGTTCTCAGACTCCCACATGCTTCTGAATTACTAGGAGGGCTTCTTAACGCAAAAGTTGCTGGTCCCCATCCTAAGAGTTTCTGATTCAATAGTTGAGCGAGCCCAGGCATGGTGGCTCACGCCTGTAATCCTAGCACTTTGAGAGGCTGAGGCAGGCAGATCCCTTGAGCTTAGGAATCCGAGATCACGTAGGAAAGCCCTTCTCTATAAAAAATACAAAAATCAGTCAGGTATGGTGGCACATGCCTGTAGTACTTGCTACCCCAGGAGCTGAGATGAGAGAATCACCTGAGAACCGGAGGTCGAAGCTGCAGTGAGCTGAGATCGCACCACTGGACTCCAGCCTGGGTGACAGAGTGAGACCCTGTCTCCAAAAAAAAAAAAAAAAAGTTGAGAGAGGCAGGGCCTAACAGAGGATCCTGAAGCTGCTGGTCCAAGGATCCCACTTTGAGAACTGCTGACTTAGGGAGTTAAACTGTCAACTAGCTTTTAGAAAATCACAACATGCAGGATAACATTTACTGAGAATCTACCAACTGCAGAACTCTCTACTACCTACTGAGTAAGCCGCACAGGTCCTTGCTCCAAACACCATCTAAATTGGCAACACAGGGTATACGTGCGAGGGGACAATACACAGACACATATCCAAAACAGCAAGAAGTAGTTAATACAGTCAAACTAAAGATGTTTCATTTCTCCAGTGCATTTCTTTATGATGTATCCTACGGTGCAGTTAAATCTATTACTCTCAGATGGACATTACTAAACCACAATGCGTAGCCATTCTTCCTTGCACTATGCCACTTCATTTCACTTACTAATGGCAGTTTCATCTGAAGCCAGGGCATGAAATGTAGAGAGGGACCTCATTTTAAAGCTTATTTATGTTATTCGTGTTGTAGCAACTGTAAGGATCAGTGTGATGATCAACACTCAGATTTCAGTGATAAGTTATCAAGCAGAGTCATCGAGTGCAGATATGATCTAATTCTGCCATCAGGCTGAACTGAAATGCACAAAAACAGTCCAACAGAATCTGAACTCTAACTTTCCCATCATTGTATAGGTTTTTAAAGCATAGCTAGCACCAACTTTCAAATGCATACTTTTCTCATGACCCTGTCCTGAGTTTAAGTGCATTTGTATCCAGATTATAATCAGAGAGGGTATTTAATTAGATAATGTTTGCAAGTACTTTGAAGATATAAAGTGCTCTATAAATGCTAAATATTATTATTATTGTTTAAATACAGTTTGCAATTACTGCTTACAACCTGTTCCACCCACCACACTGCTATCATTTGATTACAGGCAGCTTTAAAAAAAATACCTAGAGGTAGAAATGATGAAACCATATTCATGTGAAGCCCTGGATTTTTACCCTAGACATAAATAATTTATAGGCATTTTAAATGGAGGATTAGGTTATAAACTGTAGTAAATCAAGAAAATTGCCCTCTGCAAGACCAACTACCATAAAGTTGTGTCAATTTTAATAGTTTCTTACTTATAAACCAGGTTGAAAGTAGATTATAGTCCAGAATACGGAGCTTTTTACTCTGGTGGTTTCCTGTTCTATCTTCTATTTTCTCCATTAGAATCTTAAAATATCTACCTATGTGAAAAACTGAAAGCACAACTTAAGATTTTGATTTTAGCAATTGTCTGGCAGATTAAGGCTTGAGAATAGTCTCTATTCTATCATGGCCGTAGCTCACCTTGCTATCTTCTATGATCATCACAGAGTCAGCTGTCTCCAATTCTTAAAAAACTGAAACCTTTGAGCCTGATTCCACACATCCTCCAAACACACTTGCTGGATAATTTTCCAGAAAGAATGACAGTTTAAATGTAAACAAGCCAAGCTCAGTGGCTCACGCCGGTAATCCCAGCACTTTGGGAAGCTGAGGCGGGCGGATCACCTGAGGTCAGGGGTTTGAGACCAGCCTGGCCAACACAGTTAAACCTTATCTCTACTAAAAATACAAAAATTAGTTGGGCGTGGTGGCGAGCGCCTGTAATCCCAGCTACTCAGGAGGCTGAGGCGGGAGAATCGCCTGAACCCAGGAGGCAGAGGTTGCAGTGAGCAGAGATCGCCCCACTGCACTCCAGCCTGGGTAACAGAGCTAGACTCCATCTCAAACAAACAAATAAATAAATAAATAAACAAACAAACATCCCCTAGATACACTCCACAAGAATGTCACTGTTAATCCCCAAATAGCTACCATATTAGGTTTTTAAGGTTTTAGGCAAGAAAAAAAAAAAAACACGTTATAATCTGACATTGGTCATCTTACAAAACAAAGTTACAAGGAAGAAATACCTTGGAAATAGCTCTTAAAACACCACTATGCTCATGAAAGACAACTTGTGCCCTAAACCAAAGGCTTCTGGGAAGTCTGTGAGCCTCAGGGTGATAATACAACAGATAATTCTGATGTCATGACAAGGTCCATAAATCAAATGATGGCTATGTGAGTCACTATTGGCAGTGGCTTTGGGCCAGTCAGTCGTAAGCTCAGCCACTTAGTAGCTCTACGATCTTTGGTAAACTAATTGATTTTTCAGAGTCTTATGTGTTCATTTATAAATGCTACACACCTACAGCACAAGAAATTGGAAGCCAATCTGGCAATATCTAGAGCCTTAGAGATCATTCATACACTTTCATTCTAAATTCAATTTCTAAGGAGTTATCCTAAGGAAACAGAGATGCACACAAAGACTTATATATAAGGATGTTTATTGAAGCACTATTTATCAGTTGGAAAGTTAGAAATAACCTCAAGCTTCATCAACAGGAACTGGTTAAATATATTATGATCCATCTCCACAACAAAATGCTAAGCAGTCTAAAAACATGATTAGAAAGTTGAGCACTGACTGAATATTTTATTACACGTTAAATTTTTTAGGCATGATAATACTATTATGGTTATGTATTTTTTAAGTACACAAACTACTGAAATATTTATAAATGAAATAATATGCTACTTTAAAATAATATGGGGGAGAAGGTGGGTAGGAGTACAGATGAAACAGGATTCATTATGGGGGATAATTGTTCAGTAGAGAGATTATTAACCCTTTTATCTACTTTTTAATAAGAGTTTTATTGAGCTTTAATTCACATTCCATAAGACTTACTCTTTTGAAGTGTACAAGTGACTTTTAGTATGTTTCACAGAGTTGTACAAACATCTGCACTATCTAATTTGGGACGTTAGCAGTCACTCCCTGCCAGCAAGCATTAGTCTACCTTCTATCTCTATGGATTTGCTTATTCCAGACATTTTATATAAATGGAATCATACAACCATGTGTCTTCTCGTGTTTGGCTTTTTTCACATAGCATAATGTTCATCCATGTTGCAGTGTGTATCAGCACTTCCTTTTATTGTAGAATAAATATTCCATTGTAAGGATATACTATGCTACATTTTGTTTATTCATTCATTGGTTGATGGACACTTGGGTTGTCTCCTATTTGAGGTTACTATAAATATTCATGTACACTTTTTTTTTTTTTTTTTTGCATGAATACGTCCTTAGTTCTCTTGGGCATATACTTAGGAGTGAAATTCCTGGGTCACATGGTAACTCTGTATTTAGCATTTTGAGAAACTGTCAAACTGTTTTCCAAAATGGCTGTACCATTTTACATTCCTATCAGTAATATAGGAGCATTCCAATATTCTGTCTACTTATTATTATTATACTTTGAGTTCCGGGATACATGTACAGAACGTGCAGGTTTGTTACATAGGTATACATGTGCCATGGTGGTTTGCTGCACCCATCAACCCATCATATACATTAGGTATTTCTCCTAATGCTATCCCTCCCCTAGCCCCCCATTTACTGACAAGCCCCGGTGTGTGTTATTCCCCTCCCTGTGTACATATGTTCTCATTGTTCAACTCCCACTTATGAGTAAGAACATACAGTGTTTGGTTTTCTGTTCTTGTGTTAGTTTGCTGAGAATGATGGTTTCCAGCTTCACCCATGTCCCTGCAAAGGACATGAACTCATCCTTTTTTATGGCTGTGTAGCATTCCATGGTGTATATGTGCCACATTTTCTTTATCCAGTCTATCATTGATGGGCATTTGGGTTGGTTCCAAGTCTTTGCTATTGTGAACAGTGCCATAATAAACATACATGTGCATGTGCCTTTACAGTAGAATGAATTATAATCCTTTGGGTATATACCCAGTAATGGGATTGTTGGGTCAAATGGTATTTCTGGTTCTAGATCTTTGAGGAATCGCCACACCGTCTTCCACAATGGTTGAACTAATTTACACTCCCAACAGTGTAAAAGCGTTCCTATTTCTCCATGTCCTCCCCAGCATCTGTTGTTTCCTGTAATCTGTCTACCTTTTAAGTTTAAATTCCCCATGAAAAAGAGTTTTAAAAGTTATGCCATAGAAAAAGATTAATAGCATGAGAAAAGGCTAATTATTAGGTTTAAAAAATAGGTTACATATAATATGTACAATATTATCTCCACTTTAAAAAAAATCTATTTATCCATGCATAGGAAAAAACTACTAAGCCATACACCAAAGTGCATATGTGGTTATCATTAGGAATCATAAGTTTAAATAATTTGAGAATTCTTTTTATTTTTTCTCCATTTTCCAAATTTTCTGCACTGACCATGCAGAAACCATTGCAATGACCATTGCTTTTACAATGAGAACCAGAAAAGCCTTTTAAAAATTAAACAAAATTTTTGGGAGGCCAAGGAGGGTGGATCACCTGAGGTCACAAGTTCGAGACCAGCCTGGCCAACATGGTGAAACCCCGTCTCTACTATAAGTATAAAAATTAGCCAGGTGTAGTGGTGGGCACCTGTAATCCCAGCTACTTGGGAGGCTGAGGCAAGAGAATTGCTTGAACCCAGGAGACGGAGGTTGCAGTCAGCCAACACGGTGCCACTGCACTCCAGCCTGGGTGATGAAGTGAGACTCCGTCTCAAACATAAAAAAAAAATTAAACAAATTTTTAACAACTCAGCAGGCTTAGTCTGCTTTCTTTCACAGTCTGCATTTTTTGGGCCCTGGAGCCCCAGGAGTCTTCGTAGCTTCCCACTCAGGTTAAGATACAGCACATATTTCCAGCTTCTACAGGTGGCCTCTTTGCACATAGAATCGTAACCTTTATTTTCAACATCTGAAGCATTGCTACTTATCTATATTGATTAACTTAGCTGAGTTCTCCTCTACCATCTAATTAGATTTGGTTTCTTCACAGTGGAGCACAGGCTATCTTCAGTGTGTTCCGTACATACAAGCAACTTTATAACCATCTTTGTATCCATACTTTGTTAGACTGGTTTTTGTGTTGTGGGAATGACTGATTCACTAAGATGTCCAGGATGTTGGCAATCCAGTTGAGGGACGTGGTATAACGGGACCCAGCACTGCATTCGAATTTCATCCTTGGACAAGACAAGTAACTTCTCTGACCCCAAATTTCTACCTACAAAAGAGGTAAATTGGATCACCAATCACCAAGCCCTAGGCAGACAGATAGATAAGTAGATATATAGACAAAGATATGCAAACACAATCCCCCTTTACTTTTCATTTTAGCCTTAACATGGTTTTATGGCTTTATCCTATTTATGCCTTTTATCAGAAGGTGCCACAACTTACTTTTTGGAGGTATGAGGTGTAATAAATAAATAAGATCCCTTTTAAATGAATGAATTAATTGCATTCACACAATTGATATTTATTCAATCAACATTTATCATGTGCCAGACACAGTTCAAAGCACCAGGAATGTGGTGCTGAACATGCAGGCAAGATCCCTATTCTCACAAAACTTATTAGGCTCCAGTTGGGACAGCCAGATTTTTAAAAAATTCAGATAGTCACGACTGCCTTAAAGATAATAAAGCACTGAATTGGACAGTTTCAGGGTGGAAGGGAGTGTTACTTTACAGATATATTGCAAAGAAAGCCTCTCTGTTTAGTAGGGAGCCTCTAAGAGGGCCCTCAGTGACTTCTGCCTTCTGGTGTTAGTTAATATTCTTGTGTAGTCCCCTTCGAAATGAATAGGGCTGACTTGGGTAGCCAACAGGGTATTGCAGAAATGATGGTGTGTGATTTCCAAGGCTAGGTCATAAAAGACATAGTGGCTTCTGCTCTGCTTTCTTGATTCCTCTATCTGGTAAAAGTGGGCACGATGTTATGAGGATGCTCAAGCAACCAATGGAGCCACCTACGTGGGGAGGAACTGAGGCCTCCTGCCAACATCCAGCACCACATAAGTAAATCATCTTGGAAAGAGATCCTCCAGCTCCAGTCAAGCCTTCAGAAGATAGCTCACCTTGCCAAAATCTTCCTGCAACCTCAGGAGATACCTCATGCTAAAACCACCCAGGTAAGCCACTTCTGAATTCCTGGCCCACAGAAACTGTGAGATATAATAAATGGTTATTGTTGTTTAGGCCACTAAGCTTGAGGGTAGTCTGCTATGCAGATACATAAGTAATAATACAGGCAGCATCTCACCTTAGACCTAAATAATAAGATGGAGCCCTCCATGTGAAATTTCTGACACGGAGAACTACAAGAATGAGCTTGGCATATTCACAAAACAGAAAAAAATCAGTGTGGCTAGAGTGTAGTAAAAGACAAGTGCAGGCTCTCTTCTCCATCCAACCATGGGTGTAGAAACCATGCCAATGTTGTCTTCAGCTCAGCCCCAGCAACTAGTAGCACCCAATAATCAGGTACTGAATGAATATATACACAAACAAATAAATGAATGAATGCTGGATACCATGTGCATTTCTTCCCCTACAGTTAATCACATTTCACAGAATCACAGAATACTGGGCCTGAATTTACCCTGCACCCAAACTTGCACCTTCTAATACACTAATCAAACAAATGTTTGTAACATATGCAATGTATTGTTAAAGTCTACAAATTTCCTACTTGATGCATACTGCCAAGGTTCTAATTTCACTAACTAGAGAGACAGCACTTTAAAATCTAGGGTTACTTCAGAGTCTAAATCCGGGTATCCAGCAGCAACACTGTAAGGGAGTACCCAGCGGAAGTCACAGTCAGCCCTTCGTCCTATCACTCGGTCTTCAAAAACTAGAACAACACTTTAAATTATAAATCAGAATCTGACAGCTGGAAAAAAATAGCTCATTTAAAAATTAGAAAGGGATGTTACGTTCAGTGGCAATTCCCAGCTCATTGAGGTGCACAGTTTGCAATCTCTTGGTATCTCCAACAGATAGAATAAGAATCCATGGCTATTTAAATGCCCTCAGTCCTGCCTCTAGTTCCCTTACATATTCCAGGAATATGCATCCCAGCAATACAAATTGCTGGAAGTCACCTCCAGCAATTTCTAGTCCAAACCACTCATCTTACATGTGACAAAACTGAAGCTTAGAGGGCAAGGTGTCAGAGCCAGCTTTATGACGCTGGGCTCTAACTCCCAGCTGTGTGCCTCATTAAACCTCACCATCTCCCAAACTCTCTCTACCCGCTCACTGCCAGCTCTGTCAAGATAAAAACTCAACGTTGTCTTCCAGTGGGCCACCCCAGAAGCACACCCTTTCCCGCCCATCTATTACTGTTTAATCAAAACAGCAGTCATAAGTATTATCCGATTGTTGAAATAATTGAAACACACTCCAAACACACACACACACACACACACACACACACACACACACACACATACGCCTTGCAATTCTAACCCATGGTATTTTAAATCTCTCAAAACTTAGAATAAGACAATGGAGAGAACACTTTCCTTGGCAGAAAAATTCTAGAAATAGGAATACCTACCCAGGACCAGGCATAGTATTTCTCGTAATTGGTGCCCCCGGAATTGTACTCTATGTAATTAGCATCCACTGGAATTGTACTCTACATAAAAAGTGTCCCCAGGAGTCATGCAACCTAGACTATAATGTAATTCATGATCCCTGAAATTGTGCCATGGTCAGCAACAGGCCCCACCTTTCTGAGGTTTCTATACTCTCTCTACATAGCACCACCTCCAGCCCTTCTAAAAGGGTTGCACAGTATATATTTTGTTAATTCAAAATTTATTTGTTGAACGAACGCCTGCTGTGTAAAGAAAACTGGTGAGGATCCCTAAGAAAATCAAACGTTGCCTCTAAAAAGGAATTGTCTAGTAGTGAATATAATCCAAGACAGAAAGTTCTGAGTGTTATGAAAGAGGTGTGAGGTCAGTTCTGAGACAGTCTATGAGTGGGAGGGACAACTTGAGAGAAATCAGAGACTTCTGTGGAAAAGGTGGTCTGCGAATGTTCAGCGTTGGGGCAGTAGGTACAGAAAGGAGACTAAGACAGAGCGCCCCCTACAGAGCATCCATGGGGGAATGAAATTGTTCCCTGCCGCAATGGGGGAGTGGTCGTCAAAACTGCAGAGCTCGGTGGGAGGCCCCTCTGAATTGCCGCTGGTCTTAACATGCTAAAGAGTTTAGTTTTCAGTCTGTAGACTAAGGAGACAGAGAAGGCCTTGAATAAAAACAACCAGATTGAAACTGTGCGTTTGGAAGACTCACGTGGCTACAGTGTACGAGAAACCAGTCAGAAGAAGGCTGGTGGTAGAGACACAGGAGGAGGGGAGGTCCTGTTGCGGGTGTTGCCCAGGGGACAGTAACTACAGCACTTGCAGGGAACAGTGGAGACAAGGGGACCCATATGATAAACATTAAGGGAAGAATTTTAAGTTGGGGTGATATAAAATGTGTTTTGAGAAACTGAGGGCACCCCCATGAGACAACCAGGACATGTAAAAAAGAGTGGATAGAATCATGTTTCTCTAAAGGGAAATAAGCTTCCAACCAGACTGGAAGGAATCACAAGCGGAATTCATCCAACATTTTCTACTTAAGTCCTCCCTCTCTCTCCACTAGAGACCTTATATTTATATGTGCAGAATAACATTTCATTCAAAAAATATCATTAAGATTTTCTTAGAATTCTCAGCACACTGCTAACAAACCAGTTTAGGCCCTGTTCTCAGAGAGCTACTTCCCCCACAGAAATGTAAGAATCAATTTGACATTAAAGCATCTTTCAGACTCAAGTTACTCCAGATTCTATCAGGAAGGGAATCAGAGACTGGTTGTGCTCAGCTGGGCATGGCGGCCATGATTCAATCACAGGAGCGCCTGGCTGGGTGGACTTTAGAACCACTATCACTGAGAGAAGGAATGGCGTCGAAACAAGAAGGGCACGGAAGATTAATTCCAGGGCAGAGACACAGAAAGAAGAAAGGCCGAACGGGCAAGACTCGAAATTATAAGATATCAAAGAGTTTTACAGATAAGGGGGAAAAAAGGAATATTTCCTGAAAGAAATGTACTGGGTACTCTCTCATCAACAAAATATTACATGACCTCCTAAGTAGATAATTATGCAAACAGCAAACCATGACTTACACTGGCTTTTGTACTAAAGATTACTCCAGTTAATAATGAATAATGAAAATGATTATGCATATTTCTCTGATGTTCTGATAAATACCAGCACACCCTACTTTTTATGAGGCAATGCCATTGTAAAGAAAACACCTGTTTAGTATCTCTGAAAAATAAAAAGAATATCTAATGAAAAAATTGCCATGCTGTTATCATTTTGAGATACTGTTATCAACTCATGCAACTTTACTAAAATCTCATTTTAGACCAAATTTAATTAAGTGCTCTGGAGTAATGAACTAATAATGTTTCGAGATTTCTTTGAGCCCCATGAGACCTCTCACCAGAAAGTTTTAAATACTGGGCCATTAGTGTATCATTTTATGTGTCCACTCTATCTCCCAAGGGAAAAGATAAAACTTTAGGAAGGCACAGTCATGATCAATGTGTTTGTATTTGAATAATCGGTAATACATAAAGAGAGAAAACTTTTTTTAAAAAAGAAGGTTTTAATGAACAATGCTGATAGTTGATACTAGTTTAGAAATATGTTAATCTCCAAAAAACTTCAGGGCTGCACTTACCTCATATGTAATGAATGCTTAATACTGGGGGCGCAAAGCTCAATTCAGGCCATCAAAGAAACATACAAGGTCACATTGGTACACAAAAGGAAAAAGGCAGCTAAGGTCTGTGGAGGTACTGTTAAAAAGAGTCGGAACCTTCTGATATCTTTTTCTGAAGATTATTTTCCTTCTTTTCTTAGTCTTCTTTTTTTTTTCTTAAACAAGATGTCACTCTGTCACTGAGGCTGGAGTGCCGTGACACAATCACAGCCTCGACTTCTCAGGCTCAAACTATCTTCCCACCTCAGTCTCCCAATTAGCTGGGACCACAGGCACACACCACCACACTGACTTTTTTTTTTTTTTTTTAGAGATGGAGTCTCCCTACATTGCCCATGATGATCTGAAACTCCTGGTTTCAAGCAGTCCTCCCACTTCGGCCTCCCGAAGTGCTGGGATTACAGGTGTGAGCCACTGTGCCCAGGAAAGATAATTTTCTATTAGATAAAATCATTGCAATCAAATGTTGATGGTATCAATTTTCCCACTAAATTCTACTTAACCATGGGATAGCATATTTGTACAGTGCTGTATGGTTTTTAAAGCATTGCCTTAAATACTTTATTGATTTTGAAACCAGTATGTGAGAAAGGCAAACAGTTGTGATGATTCTTATTAACTATGGTTAAATGTCCTACCCAAAGTCACAGAGTGAATAAGAGGTGGACATAGAACTGGGGAGACAGGGTTCATTCCACTCCATTCATTCAAGCATTCATTCACGTACTCATTCATCCAACTAATGGAGACTATGGCTCCAAAGATGAACAAGATCTAGCCTCTGCCCTCAAGAAGTCCACGGTTTAGTAAAGAAGCAGAAAGGAAATCACACACCAAGTAAAACATGAGCATGAAAAGTGTAGCAAAGGGATGTATGCAAGGCTTTCAGATGAGGTCAATTCTTAAATCTGGGTTTCAATGGAGAAAGGAATGGCTAGGGAATGAGGGCTAAGGGGAAAGACAAGTGTAGATCATCTAATTTTGTTCAAATACAAAAGTGTATGTGAGTCCTGGCAGAAGCTGAGAGTATGAGGTCAGCAGCAGCCAACTCCTGGCCTTGAATGCCTTACCCTGTGGGCCAAGTTAAGGACAGCCAAGGTGCTTAGGTCCAGAAATATGCTAATCTCCAAAAAGCTTTCTGGGCTGAGCTCGCCTCATATGTAATAAAGCACACTGGTGGCAACTTTCATCTCTTTTAATACTGAGATGTCTTGAAGCAAGAATGACTCAAGCCCCAGGTTTGAATGAGTAAATTGTTTGCTGTAGCCTATGTATGTATACACACATTTTCATACACCCACGTGGATACGGTTTATATCCATAATACTACACATAATATATGTATCCACATAGATAATACAAAACATACACACAACTCTATAAACCTCACATGCAGAGCCATCTGAATAACATGTATGTTTATACTGACCCCTTGAGACATGCTCTGATGGACACAGGTTACTCAGAGAGGTTACCTGTGCAGGACAACCATGTGTCCTAGGTGATTTCAGACAGTCGTTTGCCTGCAGAGTAGGCATTGAACCAGGGCTGGACAAGATGAATTCCAAAGGTGGCCTAGAGCTCCATGGTTTCATGTATCACAAGCTTACTTGCATGAAGTAGTTTCGCCATTCTCAATAAATAAAATTCCCTGACCCTGGTGAAATTATTCCTTTCTGCTATTCTTTTGTACTCAGGCAGAAAATGTATTATTGATTTCTGATTCCACCACAGAAAGTGTGACTTAGAGAAAAGAGCACTGAATGAGGAGTCAGGAAATCTAGATTATTTCCTCAAACCACGCTCCTCGCTGTCCCCTCCCCTTGTTACTGTGTGACCTTGAACAACTTACTTCACGCCTCTGGGCTTCAGTTTCCCAAGTGTTCAATGAAAGGAGTGGCTGAGTGTTCTACAATTCTCTTTCCAGCTCTGAATCTATAAAACAATTCCAGCCCATCCCTCAAGATTTAGTTTATCTCTGAGCTCTAAAAATCAGGGCTAAAACTGGATTCAAAGTACCTATTTTCTAACCAAAGAAGATCCTGCTTCACTCACTTTTAAACCATGCAAATCTTGCATAATTTAAATGATCAGTGCTGTCATTGGTTGCTCTGGTTTAAATTATGCATTGTTGCTATTTGGGGAAAATTTAGACTGGGTCCGGTCTGGAATCACTGGCTGAGAACAATAAGCCCCCAAAGTGAGAAGGATAAAGGCCTCTCTAGACAGGATCTGCTTTTAATGCTTTGAGCCCAGGGTTTACAAAAAGAGCATTGACTGTGTACATTAAAGAGCCACCGAAACAGCGAGGGACTGGTAAGTCTGCAGCAAATTCTCCCAGAAGCCACTGACCTTGGCTGCATTTCAGGGGTCAGGCATTCCCCAGGAGGGGCTCAGCAGGCAGACTTTACCAAGGGCTTAGGAACAAATGAGACATCTCATCTAGATGAGGCCACCTCTCCAAATGTGGCAAGGTGGAGATGATCTGCCCTCTGATTTGTGGAGATTACCTATGTGGCCTTTGGACCCACTCCAGCAGACACACCTCACCCACAAGACTGGTCAAAGACCCTGGCCCTCCAGGATATAACTGTCTCCACATCTGCATCTAAGTCTTCTAGCCAGCAGTTCCTGGTCCCCAAGCTAGCTGTTGCCCTCTCTGTTTCCACACCTCCCAGCAGGCAGAAAAACAGAAGCAGAGCCCTAAGCTGATAGCCCAGGCCACAAAGAGCAATTTCAGTGAATTGTGCAAAGATATATTTTCAAAATACAGATCACAAGAAAGCACATCCCAAGTGTGAACCGCAGTCGTCCGCCCAGTGGGCCCTCACCGGTTGCTCCCCTGCCTGCAGGCTCCGTGCTTGGTATCTCAGAAAACCTTCCCGAGGAAAAAGCCCATAAGGGACAAGTCCCGGCCCAACTTAAAATCACATCAGACTGCTTTCCAGTAGAGGAGCAAGGTCGAGATTCCGGCCCAGGGAAATCACCGCAAGCCCTGCGCATTGTTCAGACCCCTTCCCCCTTTGCCACTTCCCGCCCCCCACCCCGACCTCCGACCGATTCGCAGCACCCCACCCCCAGTCGGGGCCATCCATCCACCTGATTAACTCGCCGGCAGCAACTCCCAGCGTAGAAAGTAGGGCAAATGAACACACACAGTCGGTAAAGCAGGAAGCCACAGACCTGGCCAATGCACCCACCCTGTTACCAACCCCACCCCGCTGCGCAGGGGGCAGCCGGTTCTTGATGTGGCATTTCCACTCCAGGGAAATAGACAGCTTCCTGTAATAATGCATGAATGAGCTTTGGCTGCCCAACTATCAGAACAGCCCATTTCAAACGGCATCTCTGTTTCTTCTCAACTCCTTACTTGCCTTGCTGAAACCTCATCTCTTAGCCCAACAGATTAAGACGAAGAGAGAAAGACTTATTCAAAGAGATGTGGAGGAAAAGGTTTAATTAAGGAGACCAAAGAGAAAGTACCACTTTGATCACAAAGGTAGCACTTTAATATATCAGTGCAGATAGCGGCAATGTCAGAAGTACTAGGAATCCAGGTAAATGGCCCCAAGATTCAGCATCAATCTAACAATGTATTCCTCAGGAGGGCGTGTGAACTTCCATGCTTCATCCATCCTGGTGTCTCCCTGTAGAGAGCCACCATGAATTCCTTCTCATCCACCCTCCATACATCAAGTATATGCACTCGCTTTCTTTTTAATTTTATTTTTGGTTCGGGAGAGGAAGAAGCAGTCCTTAAATTGGTGTCCAATCCTTCTCAGACACCCGCTGCTGCCACCATCCCCACCCCTCACCCCCTTCCAGGCAGGCAGCATCTAATTAAAATGGCAAGAAAGCTCTGCCCCCTTCCCCAAAGGAGTGTGTTGGGATCGGGAGTTGGGGGTGGGGAAGCGTCGAAGCAGCACTTGGATTCCTGGTATTCTGATCTCAAAACAACAGCAAAATGGATTCTATATCAGTGATGTCTTAGTCAATACAATGAAACGGCGTCTGAGGTAATTCACGTGAAGGTAAACGCAAACCAGTGGGGCTGGGGGGAGGGAGGTGCTCTACAAAGGACTGGCCACAGACACGGGGAAAACACACACAGACACACACACACACACACTCGCACACACTCCAGGGAGTTCCGGTCTGATTGAGGAAAAGCAGAAAACACATCCCTTTCACCTGCTTAAGTTCAGCCATAAAACTGAAACGTTACAGCCACAAAGTCAGAAAGAACAGGCAGGGCTGAGTTAAAGCCATAAATAAAGGTGAGTGGCAGACTGGCATTTAAGGGAGCGCTGAGAGGGCGCCCGGGCGCGGGAGGTAGAAAAGGGGGAGGGGGAGGCAGTTGCCATCTACAAGACCAGCATAGCAATAACTGCCCCCTTGGAGCGGCAGGTTCGGCTTCGCGGGGACAGCCAGCCTCACAATGTCATCTTGCAGGTAGCTGGAAAACGTGAGGGGCCAGTGCCTTTATTCACGCTGGCATTCTTTTTGCAGAAGGGACAGTCGGGTCTCGCGCCTTGGCACCAGACAACTGCCCGGGGCGTGTACACACACACACACACACACACACACACGCACACACGCCTTTCATTTTAATGCTCTTACACCGGTATAAGATGAAACTGGCATAAGCTCTACGAGCCCTCGGGAGAGCCTAAGCCACGGCCAGAGGAAGACACGTACCGCACAGCCCCTGCCGTAGGGGCTCAGCCAGGAGCACCTCAGCAACCCCGAATCAAAACGGGAATCCAGGTTCCCTCCCCGACGCATTCTCCCGCTGCTGTCCCCCTGCCCCAGCCCCAGCCCCCAGTCCACGCACCGAGCCCATTCACCCTAACCCAAACCACTGGAAAGAAACCAGAAAACGTCCTGCTCACCCTCAGAGCCGAGAGATCTATTTCATCCAGGCTTCGAGCCGGGGAGTCGCTCGCCATGTCTACTTCTTCGCTGGAGAAATGGACCAAAACCACCCCGAAGCTTTTCCCTTGGAAATTCCACCTTGGTCTATTTCACTCGCGTCCTCATGCGGGTGTCGCGCCAGAGGCCCCGGGCCCAGCCTCCCCCGCCCACCCCAGCCCCACAGCGCCGGATCCCGATCCTCCGCGCGTCGGTCCGCCGGGTCCGGGAGCCCAGCCTGCGCGGATCTCCAAGCCCCGAGCAGCGGTGCGTGTGGGCTGAGCGCCCCGATCGGCTAAGGGCGCTGGGGCTGCGTGGGTGTATTTAAATGGGACATGCTTCTTTGCTTGTGCGTGGATGGCGGCTGCATTGGCTGTTATAATGAGACACATCAACTCCTCCACTCAGCAGGGGGAGGGTGGGGGTGGAGAACCACGCAGAACTGTCTATCACCGCTTCCTGGGAGGAGTGAAGGGGGAGTGGGGAGGCGGAGGAGGCGTGGTCTTGGACTGGGGAGAGGCCGCGCTTCCTGACCCGGTCCCTCTGCACCAGCGTGGAGGGGGGAGGGGCGCGCACCCTTTCCGCCCAGGCTTTTGCGGGCTCCTCGGGCCGAACCCGAAGGGGCTGTTCCTGAACCTTGACTTGTTATCATAGGGACCCAAGCTCTATTTTTGTGTGGCCAATTCGTGCACTGCAGCAAAATGGCCCTTCAGTCGCGTCTTGGGGTTTCTCCTCGGTTCAAATGCTCTCGCGCTGAGAAAAAGCCGGAGGAAAAAAAAGCGACACCCTCCCTCCCCCATTAATTATTTGTGGGGCCGGAGTAACGCGGGCTGGTGCAACCGGTGCATATAAGGACTTGTGTGCAAGGAAGGGGATCCGCCTCCAGGCGCGGAAAGAGTAGGGAAGAAGCGCACACGCACAGTGCACCCAGCTGGGCGCTTCGGCAGTTTGCAGCTGCGGCGGGGTCGGGTCCACCCGCGGTCCCCGGAATGCCGGACGGCTGATCCCGGGTGCTGGTCACTCGCCGATTCGGGGCTGGGAAGGTTTGCCAGAAGCGGGAAAGATGGGAGATCTGAGCGCTCTCTTGGCATCGCCACACCCAGGACTTGCTCGTGCCGCAATTCCCCACGGAAACAACCGAGTTGAAACGAGAAGCTTGCTCTCTGGGTGCAGTAGCTAGAAGGCTTCAGGTAACTCCAAAGCCAACACTGGGTGAGGCAACACACGCCGCCTCAGGACTCAGCATTTCTTTCAGGCTGCGTTTTCGTGGCAGACCTACCCAGATTGATGGAGAAAGTTTGGCTGGCGGATAAGAAGTAACGCGGAAGATGTGTACGTGAGAGCGATTTCACTTCACTCACTTTCTCATTTAAAGGTTGGATGTTTTACAGTGGTATACATGATTCTCCTTCTGTAATCAAGAGTGGGAAGTCGCTTCCCCCAATCCCCGCGCAGCCCTTCTTCTCCCGCCTTAGCCATGCAAAATACCTAGAAAGAAAACACTAAAACTGAACTTTTTTCCAAATACAGCAGTAGCTTTGAAAGCATTCTTTGCTCCTCTGTTAACAGCAGAATGTAATTCTGACCACTGCACTGATGGTTTCTTAATCATGCAGTATGAAGATCAGCTTCAAAATAAGTCTTATGAATGAATGAATGAAAGCCAGTGCAGTTAGTTCATCATGACTGCAGACATTAGAGGACTTTGAAACAACCTTTGGTGTACATTGTACTGTTTTTGTTACTGATATTGTATGTATTCATATGCATTGTGGATCATGCACCATGAAACTTGAAAATTGTTCCAACATCTCAATGGCCACAACAGTTTGGTAGCTTTTGCCTGTAAACGTTGTATGTAAACATTTGAACGTGTTATACTAAATTACTAAACTCATTTTTTACTAAAATCATCTGGTTCGACATAGTAAGTAACGTGCAGTAAGCCACCACGTCGAAATGAAAAAAAAAAAACAGATTATTTCCCATCATTGTCTTTGTTTTTTTCTCTTCTGTGTTCCTGTTTTTTTACCGTTCATCTAGACAACAGGTTAATGTATTGTCTCAGGGTTGAAAGAAGATAATTTAAGATCAAGTATTAAGATCTATAAACAACTATTTTTTTAAAACTGCAAACATAAGGAAATATGAGTTAAATATTTTTTCCATGGAAAGCCTTCGTTTTATACTCATGATTATATTTGAAACATCACAAACAGATCAACTTTTTTGACATTAGTGAGCTGTTTGGGCCACGAGGGTGCCAAGTTGGCATTCAGATTTAGTTTAGTTTTAGATGAGAAAGTTATAGATGCAGTATGATGCCAGGTGCTAAATGGAGGAGGGCTTCCTAAGAGCCTGAGAAGTTGATGAGACAGCCAGGGGAAGGCAGGGGTGTGGGCTGCAGGAAATACCATAAAAGGAGAGATTGCAGTATCAAAGGGACCTCCAACTGGTAAAGGAAGGTGAGAAGGAGGAACTTGAACTTTTTCCTTTTGGTCAAGTGTGTATCAAATTTCAGCTATTCCAGTATAAATTTCCTAATTTTTTCCTATGTCTCTGTATTGCCTGTACTATTTTACCACTTACTTAACATTTTTCTTTAAATCAACACTTTTTTCTTACACTTAATATAAAAGAAAACATAAATCACTACTCTAAATGGAAAGCCAACAACACTTGCTTTGAAAAAAAAAGGGGGGAGGAAACCATTAAAATAAATATAATGGAAAATAAAGAAGTATTATTAAATTCTAGCTAGCCATCAATTCCTGCTCTGGGCTTCTAGCCTAAGGCCTACTCTTAGTTTGTTAAAAGAGAGAATAGCAAATACCAGGAAAAACATTCAAGACTTGAGATTTTTTTCTTGATGTAATCTGAAGGATTAAGAGAACTGACACCATTTATGTGCAGTTTGAAAACCTGCCGAATAATACACTATGCTGTTTACATATGTATAAATATGTAGTAAACTATATAAAGCATGGATACAGGCAGTAAGGATACAGATTAACTTCAGGATAATGAGAAAAGAGGAAGAGGAAAAGGAGACTCCAACAATGATACCTAATTTTTTTGCTAAAGATTTCTGCCAGGCACGGTGGTGGCTCACACCTGTGATGCCAACATTTTGGGAGGACAGGTTGGGAGGATAGTTTGAGTCCAGGAGTTCGAGACCCGCCTGGGCAACTTGGTAGAACCCCATCTCTACAAAAAATACAAAAATTAGGTGGGCATAGTGGTACACCCCTGCAATCCCAGCTACTAGGGTGGCTGAGGTGGAAGAATTGCTTGAGTCCGGGAGGTTGAGGCTGCAGCAAGCCAAGATAAGCCACTGCACTCCAGCCTGGGCGACAGAGGGAGACCCTCTTTATAAAAATGAATAGAAAATTTGAATAATAAGTAATACTATGCTGCAGATATTTTTCTAAGCATTTGTTCTATCTGAATGTTTGTGTCTCCCAAAATTTATGTGTTGAAACCTAACCCCCATAGTGATAGTATTAAGAGGTGGAACCTTTAAGAGGTGATTAGATCATGAGGGCAGATCCTTCATGAACTGGATTAGTGCCCTGAGAAAAGAAGCTTGAGGGAGCCTGTTCGCCCTTCCACCACATGAAGATGCATAGAAGGGGCCATCTGTGAGAAAGGAGCCCTCAGCAGACTTCAAATCCGCTGATATCTTGATCTTGGACTTTCCGGCCGCAGAACTGTGAGCAATTCTGTTTCTGTTGTTTATAAATTACCTAGTCCAAGGCATTTAAGTAATTTAAGTAACATGGAGAATAAATCCAGAAGGCCCAATATTCATCTGATAAGGGATCTAGAGAATGGATGGAAGGAAATACTCAAAAAATGGTAGAAAATATTCCAGTATCTTGACTGGGCACGGTGGCTCACACCTGTAATCCCAGCACTTTGGGAGGCTGAGGAGGGCGGATCACCTGAGGTAGGGAGTTCAAGACCAGTCTCACCAACATGGAGAAACCCCGTCTCTACTAAAAATACAAAATTAGCCGGGTGTGGCAATGCATGCCTGTAATCCCAGCTACTAGGGAGGCTGAGGCAGGAGAATTGCTTGAACCCTGGAGGTGGAGGTTGTAGTGAGCCAAGATCGTGCCATTGCACTCCAGCCTGGGCAACAAGAATGAAAAAAAGAAAATATTCCAGTATCTTTAAGTAAAAAGCTCTCATTTAGCTCTGAGCCAAATGCATAGGTAAAAAATAACACACTTAAACACCTCACAGTGAGATTTCAGAGCATGAAGGATAAAAAGTAAATCTTAACTGGATTACCTTCTCATCAGCAACAATGGATGCTAATAGACAATGGAACAGTATTCTAAGGAAATCATTGTAATGGTGTTTTGTCTTGTTTTGTTTTGTTTTTGAGACACAGTCTCTCTCTGTCACCCAGACTGGAGTGTGTGGCTGGCTCATTGCAGGACCTCAGTGAGTTCAAGCTATCCTCCCACCTTAACTACCTTAACCCCACCACCACCCAATAACTGAGCTGGGACCACAAGTGCGTGCTGCCATGCCTGGCTAATTTTTTTTTTTTTTTTTTTTTTTTTTTTTAGAGCTGGAGTCTCAGTAAGTTTCCTTGGCTGGTCTCAAATTCCTGGGATTCCACCTCGGCTTCCCAAAATGTTGGAATTACAGGTGCAAGCCACCACGCCCAGCCTCTAAGGGAATTGTTTTTAACCTAGACTACCAAACTAAATTAGCACTTAAGAGAGGGTACAAAATAATGACACATATTTTCAGATATGTAAGAGTTGAGATTGCTGCCCATCCTTGAAATTACTTTTAGAGAATGTCTTCCACCAAAGAGTAAACTGAATCCAAAAACAAAGTGTGTGTTACAAAAGACAATGATAAACAAAGGTAGCAAACTCTGTTACCTGCTCAAAGCCATTCTTTCTTCCTTACTAGTAAAACACCGATTTTGACAATTTACCCTCCATGTGTGTAAAACATATAGATTCTCCCCAGCCCCATTCTATTCTCTCTCCTAATGATTGGTTTAGACATAGGCATATCATTCAACACTGACTACTGAGAAGTGCAGAGAAGTCTGGTAGGGCTTATAGATATGGTTTTCCTCCATCGGGCACCGTGGCTTACGCCTGTAATGCCAGCACTTTGGGAGGCCGAGGCGGGCGGATCACCTGAGGTCGAGAGGTTGAGACTGGCCTGACCAACATGGAGAAACCCCGTCTCTACTAAAAATACAAAATTAGCCAGCCGTGGTGGCACATGCCTGTAATCCCAGCTACTCGGGAGGCTGAGGCAGGAGAATTGCTTGAACCCAGGAGGCGGAGGTTGCGATGACCCCAGATCACGGCATTGCACTCCAGCCTAGGCAACGAGAGCGAAACTCCGTCTCCAAAAAAAAAAAAAAAAAAAGAAAGAAAAGAAAAGAAATGGTTTTCCTCTTTGAAAGTTGAAAAAAGAAAAGGAAACAAGGAATAGGGAAGGAAGATCGGAAGAAATGAAGGAAGAAGGAAGGAAGAGAAGACAAAACAAGAGAAATGGCCAGGAAAAGCTTCCTTCCCATGGTAGCTATGCCCAAGATGATTTCCAATGAGCCTCACTTTCTGGTATTCACACCCTTGTGTGGATCCCTCCAACATGGAATACAGAGGACTTCCAAAGCTGGGTAATACAAGGCATTTCAGCTTTTACCTTGCTCTCTTGGCTCACTTGCTCTAAGGCAGGATTTCTTAACATTAGCACTATTGGCATTTTGGGCCTGATAATTCATGTTGTGAAAGGCTGTCTTGTGTCATATAGGATGTTTAGCAGTAACTCTAGTTCCAACCCACTAGATATCAATAGCAACTTTCCAGTTATGACAACCAAACACGTCTCCAGATATTGCTAAATGCCCCCTGGTGAGAAAAATCACCCACAATAAGAACCAGAGCTCTATGGGAAGCCAGCCATCTTGTCCCACAGATATTCATGCAACCTGCCTGCCATGTTGATGAGTCGCTTTGAAGTGGATCTCTAGCCCCAGTCAAGCCTTCAGATGACTGCAGTCTCAGCTGATTCTGACAGAAACCTCATGAGAGATCCTAAGCTAGAAGCACCCAACCAATCTGCTCCCGAATCCCTGACCCACAGAAATCATATTATTAAAATAATAAACTTTATTGTTGTTTTAAGTTGCTTGATGTGTTATGCAGGAAGGGATAACTAATACATTATTTTCAGACAGGGTTGTGTGAGGATATAATAGCTGGAACTATAGAAGTCTTCTTCCTACCAGGGTGGGAGGAGCTTCAAAAAAAGTGAAAAGATGAAAAGAACCTGGATCCTGCATGACACCATTGAATCACTACATTAACTAACCCAGGAACAAACTGTCTTTGAATTTCTTTTTGTGTGACATAAGTTTTTCTCATGGTTTAAGTCAGCTTTAGTGGAGTATTCTGTTTTTTGCACCCAACCACTTTCTGTTATAGAAAATTTTAAATTTTTAATTGTTTTCATCATTGCTAGTTAATAAAAATAAATAATGATAGTCTATAACTAAATGATGTTATCACAAGGATAAAAGGCAAGAAGAGGAGGAAAAGCATGCTAAGATTTTTTTGTCTTATTTGGAGATGTATATAGATACTATCTCTAAACACAGAAAAGTATATCAATTATGCATAATAAACATAAGGTCACCACATAGATGGATACAAATTGGATGTTTAAAGTACAGGCTACTTGAATGGAAAAAAAATGAAACAAGAGTAACTATGAATTCAATAAAATAAAGAAAAGAAAAAATATCAACCAGAATGAGTAGTATGAAGAACAAGTTTTTAGAGTGGTGGGGCCCACCCAGTATCCATTCTGCTTTGGTATACTGTGGTAGGCAGAATAATGGCCCCTCATCGACGTCCACGTTCCAATCTCTGGAACCTGTAATTACGTTACCTTACAAGGCAAGAGGGACTGTGCAGATGTGATTCAGTTAAGGCATTTGAGATGAGGAGATTTTCCTGGATTATCAGAGTAAACCCAAGTAATCACAAAGTTCCTTAAAAGTAAAAGAGGGAGTCAGAAAAGGACTCAGAGTTAGAGGAAGATGTAATATGAAAAAGGCACTGAGAAATATAACATTGCTGGCTTTGAAAATGAAGGAAGGGGCACACATACACCAAGGAATATGGGCAGCCACTAGAAGCTGAATCAGGCAAGGAAGCACATTGTCCCCGGGAGCCTCCAGAAAGGAATGCAGCCCTGATAACATTTTTTTTTCTTTCTTTCTTTCTTTTTTTTTTTGATGGAGTCTTGCTCTGTCGCCAAGGTTACAGTGCAGTGGAGCTCACTGCAACCTCCGCCTCCCGGGTTCAAGTGATTCTCCTCCTGAGTAGCTGGGATTACAGGCATGTGCCACCATGCCTGGCTAATTTTTGTATTTTTAGTAGAGATGGAGTTTCACCATGTTGGCCACGCTGGTTTTGAACTCCTGACCTCAGATGATCCTCCCACCTTGGCCTCTGAAAGTGCTGGGATTACAGGCATGAGCCACTGCAGCAGGCCCTTTTCATTTATTTTATTTTATTTTTTGAGACAGGGTCTTGCTCACTTGTCACTGCATTCCTAGGCTGGAGTGCAGTGGTGAGATCACAGCTCACTGCAGCCTTGATCTCTTGCACTTAAGGGATCCTCCCACCTTGGCCACTGAAGTAACTGGGACTACAGGCGCAGGCCACCACGCTTGGCTAATTTTTCAATTTTCTTGTAGAGATGAAATCTCACTATGTTGCCCAGGCAGATCTCAAACTCCTGAGCTCAAGGGATCCTCCCACCTCAGCCTCCCAAAGTGTTAGGATTACAGGGATGAGCCACCATGCCTGGCCCCTACTAACATCTTGATTTTAGCCCAGAAAGACCCATTTTGGACTTCTGACTATAGGATAATAGATTTGTGTTATTTAAGTAAAGCCACTAATTTTGAGGTGATTTGTCACAGCAGTGATTTAAAAAAATGAATACAAACTTCTTTTATCCATTTTTATTTTTAAATCATTGTCTCTTTTCCCTTGGTTACAGATTATTGTGGCTGTCACTCAGGTTTTCTGCTCATTGGTAGACAAAGGGTGAGGAGGTGACTGAAATTGGAACAGTGGAAGGACCCTTCACCAAAACCTGGAACTTCAGAAGAATGGCAGGGCTGAAAATGATTAGTGTTAATTCATTCCAGTTGTGTTACCCTACCCATAAGGTATGACTAGAGACCACTCCTCTTTCCTAGTTCGAGGAATAGGAAGCCTTGTTTCCTTGTATCTTGTTCGTTTCCAAACTTGGTTCTCTGTGCTAGTTATTTATTGCTTTATAACAAACAAACCACCTCTAAACTCAATGACTTAAAACAGTAACAGTCATTTCTGTAGCTTGAAAATGTGTAATTTGGGCAGGATTTCGTGGGGAATTCTCATTTGCTCCACAGAGCATGAGGTAGGGCTGGAGGACCCACTTCCAAAATGGCTTGCTCACATGCCTAGCAAGTGTGGTGTTAGGCTATCAGGAGTGCTCAGCCAGGGCTGATGGCTGGGAGCTTCTCTTCCTCTCCGGGTGGGTCTCTCCACGGTCTGTTGGAGCTTCTTCATGGCATAGTGTCTGAGTTGCAAGAACAAGCATCCCATGAGAACCAGGTAGAAGCTGTATTTCCTTTTCTGACCTAGCCTCAGAAGTCATGCGACTTCATTTCCACCACTGTCATGAATCTACCCGGACTCAAGGGGAGGATGCAGAGATGCCACCTTTCAATAAGAGGATTATCTAAGTTGCACTGAAGAAGAGCATGTGGGATGGAAGATACTATTGCAGTATTTTTGGAAACTAAAGCCTACCATATTCTTCAAGCCTTACCATCAATTCTGTGTCCTCAGCATTCTCCCCTTTGCTCACGTTAGCGAGAGTTAGTTTCTACTTTTGCTTGTAACCAAAGAATAATGTAGCTGGCATAAGCACAAACATATCAGAATAAGTATAAATATTTAAACTTCCTTATTAAAAGACAGAAGCTCTCAGAATTTGTAGAAACAAAGCAAAGCAACCCCAATAAATTAAGAATGTGGATGCTTTTCAAATCTCTCACAGAAAATTAACAACATTGGACCAGGCCAAAAAGTACGCTTTTTATAATTTCCCAAAAGCAACAATCATACATACCATATTATTAGTAGATTTCAACATTCATGTAACAGATCCATCTAAATCTGTAATTCTCAATTATTGAAACTTTTTCACTAGAATGACTTTAGTTTCTCATTATACTTAAAGTTACTCCCAGAGGCCCACCCAAGAATTTATCATCATCTTGAACAGCTTTTCTTTAGAAAATAAAGCTCCAATTTTCCTTTGTCCAATTAGTCTACCCTTCCAGCTCCCCGGCAGCCTTCACTGACATTACTGCTGTTTTTCACTGACATTACCGCTGCCTTACAAAGACTCTATTTCTGTACATTGGTAGCATTCTTCATTATTTTCCAATTGGTCTTACCTCTTACCCTTCCTCTTTCCAATTTTGTGCTGGACCTCAGACTGCCTGAAGGAGCCTGAACTTCCACGTGCTGTCTTCCATATAATGTGATCTGAGGTGAAGAGCATGGTCCCTGGAGTTGAACTGCCTGAAGTAAATCCCAAAATAGAAAAATAAAAATAAAACAGTGGTTTTATTGTTTTTATTTCTTGTTTCTCATTGATAGGTAGATAGAGAGTTTTCTTTAAAAGCCTAGTGCTTTTGGGATAATAATGGCAAGTGATTACATCTCTTTTGTATTAAATAGGTTTGGAGAAATTTTCTTAATTATCTGGTACTATTTAAACTCAAAGGCAAACACAACACTCTATCTAAAATACCAGTATTACACTTTCCCTAAATGCAGAAAACTATTTTTACTAAAAATTTGGCAAGCACTTTCAAAACAGCATTTTTCTGTTTTCATTCCTTGAGAATTTCCTAACAAGTATGCATAGAAATTTTAATATAGAGCTTTAATCCTTCAATATTTATTGTAAAAGTTTAATTGTTTATCCTATTTTTTTGGAAGTTGCTTAATCTTCTTAAATCCTAAAGCGGTTTTAAATGTAATTGTATTCTGGCCAAGTAATTGAGTTTTCAGCTTGCTTTCCCCTCAATATTTTCAGGATCTAACCTAGTATCCTGCAACAGTACATACATGCCTAGTCAATGACCAAACATACTGTAACTGAAATGATGAAAGGACATTTATTCTGATTACCAAGGCCTGTGCAGACTATGTCATAAGTCTGGGGTGCTTTGCTCCCTGCTGGCTATCTCAATGTGCTTTCACTTTTCCCATATAACTTTTTTTTTTTTTTTTTTTTTTTTTTTTTTTTTTTTTTTTTGAGACGGAGTCCCGCTCTTTAGCCCAGGCCGGATTGCAGTGGCGCAATCTCGGCTCACTGCAAGCTCCGCCTCCCAGGTTCACGCCATTCTCCTGCCTCAGCCTCCCGAGTAGCTGGGACTACAGGCGCCCGCCACCGCGCCTGGCTAATTTTTTGTATTTTTAGTAGAGACGGGGTTTCACCGTGTTAGCCAAGATGGTCTCGATCTCCTGACCTTGTGATCCGCCCGCCTCGGCCTCCCAAACTGCTGGGATTACAGGCGTGAGCCACCGCGCCCAGCCCCCATATAACTTTTTTACAGAACTGTGTCCTGTTTAATTTTAGGATTAAAATGTCCCATACCCCACCATACACGCAAAATAATTTTCAGTTCTTTTATTTCATGTTCCTATATTTGAATGGCATAACCCCAGGTTAGCTAGAGCTAGGGGAGGGGATGAGTAGCCTAACTGGACCTTTACATGAAGTCATAGGGTAGATAAAAGTGCTTATCAGACTTTTCAAGCTGGAAGGGAACTTACAGATAAGCAACTCCAACCCCCTCATTTTACAGATAAGGAAACCAAGGTCCAGAAACACTATGTGACTTGCTCAGTGTCACAGACTTAGCACAGGAAAGGGCTTTGGGGACTGAAGACTTTGTGCTAAAAAAAGAAAAAAAAAAAAAAAAAAAGCAAGGCCTTATTTATCAGTATTGTCTCCCACCAGATTCCCCATATACTGTTTCTTCTACTCTACCATATTGTGTCCCAGACATTCAAAGTTCTTTCCACTTGTGTTGTGCTTTTTATCTTAAGGAAACCATACAAGTACAGAACTTGTTGTATTTCCCTTAACGTGTGGGCTGCCTGAGAGCTCCAAGCTAAATGAGTTGGTTTGCCATGCCTGGTACTGGCTCTTGGGTGGGAGAAAGTGCCAAAAATGGAGTTGAGAGGCTTGGCTGGGTGGGTTCTTAAAGCCAGAGAACTCAGGGAACAAAGTAAGGAATGGGGAGTTGTTTGGATTCATTAGCCGAAGAAAATAGAGGCCAAACCTCTCCAGAAATTTAACACACTCTCATCATGCAATTACATGGATGATTTTTAAGGTGGATGCTGGAAAATGCATTCTCTTTTGTTTAGTACTTAAGACACCGTATTGTAGTTGCTGTCTTTCTTTTCTACCATGGAGCTGTTGATTGCAAGGATCCTTTCTTGCTCATCTCTTTTTCTCTAGTGCCTAGCATAATTGCCACAATAAAGTGGTGTGTATTTAAAAAATAAATCAATAAATCAGTGTAGTGAAGTTGGTAAAGGTAGATGAAATGAGCCACTTTGAAGCCAGAAAATTCTGGACAAATCTTTTAAGTCCCCTAAGTGTCAACATTTTATGTTTGTTATAATTTCACGTGGCTAGTTGATTCTGAGAATAAACCAAGATTCCCATTGCTGATACTCTATCCAAAGCTGATAATAAAAATTAATTATAGATCCATCTTTCTCATCTAGTCACAGAGTGTAAATTAATTCACTCATTCATATATTCATTCATCAAAAACATGGATTGAATACAAAGATCATCAAGATGGCCTCTGCCCTTTATAATTTAGGCAGTGTTTCTGAAAGTATGATCTCTGATGCACTGACATCAAAGAGGGGAGCAGGGCTTGATTAACATGTAGATTCCCAGAGTGTGGGGGGCCAGGGCTCAGGAATAAACATAATGAAACTTAGGTAAGATGTACAGAGAGTATAAGAGCTGAGAGGGGTGGAAAGGATTCAGAGACAGAGTCTAGGACATGGAGAAACTAAAAGAGGATCCTAAAGCTGGTTGGGCAGAGGTTCTAGGCCTTTGTAGATGTTAATGAGTTAGTGATTAAGTGATGTTGTTAGTGAGCTAGTGACTTGTAGATGTTATGAGTGAGTTAGTGAGTAAGGAAGACCCTGAAAAGTTGCTTAGTGTCCTTTGTCTTCCACTCTGTCACTTATAACGGAGGCAGCCTGGCCACACCGTGCTGGAACTCTTCAAAGCTCTCACAGAACCAGACCAAAGGCTTTTTCTGTTGAATAGTGCTATGGTCTAAATTTCTGTGTCTCCCCAAGCTCATAGGTTGAAATCCTAACCCCTAGGACAAGAGGTGGGGCCTTTGGGAAGTGATTAGGTCATGAGTGGGATTAGTGCCCTTATAAAAAAGGCCAAAGAGATCCTTATCCTTTCCCCCATATGAGGACACGTGAGAAGGTGCTGCCTATGAGGAAGCAAGCCTTCATCAAACATGGAATCTGCAGGCATCTTGATCTCGGACTTTCTAGCCTCCAGCACTGTAAGAAACAAATGTCTGTTGTTTATAAGCCACCCAGCTTATGGTGTTTTGTTATAGCAGCCCAGATGCACTAAGACAGGCTCAGCCAAAGCAAGAGTCAACCTTGCTCCAGAAAGGTAGTAGAGCTCTTGGCTCTTCAGCAATCAGGCTGTCCTATTATTTCATCCTTTTAAGCCATACCAGAACCTTTTACCTCTAGCTTAATACCTAGAACATGGGACATTTTTAAGTTGAGTTCATGCTTCCCTTTGTCTTTGTCCGCAGACTGACACAGCCTGGAAAAACAATCATGAGTCCATTCTATGGCGACCTTTTTGTTAAATCCCTCTAGCAGGTGACACAAATTAATTCAAGCCCATCCTTCTCAAGTTGTGCCTTGCAATTGCTCTGTTTTCTTTTTTTCTTCATGAGACAGAGCCTTGCTCTGTTGCCCAGGCTGGAGTGCAGTGGCACGATCTTGGCTCACTGAAACCTCTGCCTCAGCCTCCTGAGTAGCTGGGACTACAGGTGCCTGCCACCATGCCAGGATAATTTTTGTACTTTCAGTAGAGACGGGGTTTCAGCATGTTGGCCAGGCTGGTCTTGAACTTCTGACTAGGTGATCTGCCCGCCTCAGCCTCTCAAAGTGCTGGGATTACAGGCATGAGCCACCGAGCCCAGCCTGCAGTTGCTCTGTTTTCTGATGGATATGTCCTGGGAATATGAGCATCTCTCTGCTTGAAATCTCAGCCTGAAAGCCTTCTGCAGTTTAGGAGGAAAATTCCTTTGATGATTCTTTTATTTTTTAACTCTTATTTTGAAAAATTCTAAACATATGCAAAAGTAGAGTATATCTGATTTCCCTTTATACATCACCAGTTTCAACAGCCATTAGAGTGTTATCATACTTATTTTTATCTATTTCTCCTCCTCATGCTTTTTTTCTTTCCTAAACCATTTTAAAACAAATATTTAGGCCGAGGCGGGCGGATCACGAGGTCAGGAGATCGAGACCATCCTGGCTAGCACGGTGAAACCCCATCTCTACTAAAAATACAAAAAATTACCTGGGCGTGGTGGCGGGCGCCTGTAGTCCCAGCTACTCGGGAGGCTGAGGCAGGAGAATGGCGTGAACCCGGAAGGTGGAGCTTGCAGTAAGCCGAGATCGCCACTGCACTCCAGCCTGGGTGACAGAGTGAGACTCCATCTCAATAAAAAATATATATATATTTGGCATCATGTCATTTTACTTCTAAATATTTCAGTATGGATCTCAAAAAAGAAGGAGGGATTTAAATATGGGCTGTGCTTAGTGACATGCTTCCAAAGCATAGAGGATGGAAATGGGGGGAGATGTAACTTTACAGTGGAGAAACCTAGTAAACAGCAAATACTACCTTGGTCAGGTGATCAAGATTAACATCATTAGTGATAAGTCATGTGGACAGCATGTATCTTTGATATGATATAATGAAAAAGATACTAGTCAAATACAAATAAATTGTGTAGTTTAGTTAATAGTAATGTGCCTATGTTGGTTCCTTAGCTGTGACACATGTCCCAGAGTGATGTAAGATGCTCACGAAAGGAGAAACTAGGTACAGAGTATGTAGGAACTCTATACTATCTGCAAATTTTTGGTACTCTAAAATGTTTTAAGTTTATTATTTAAAAGGGAAGCAGGACAACTACAGTGCTACTATCACACTTAAAAAGAAAAGTTGCCCCAAACCAGGTCACAGACATAACATTTTTGCATGGTGGAATTCATAACCACCTTCTGCAAAATGTATATTGCAAAGTGTATTAATAGTTAAACATCCAAAAAATGTATTGAGACACCACCCTTTAAATAAAGCCTTCAAATCTAAACTATATGCTAGTACCCAAGAACCATCTGAAAGCCAACATGCTTTTTCAGGTGTGTGAAACATGCTGTCAAGGTTGTGGGTTGATTGCAGTGAAGATTTTTAAAGAGAAAAATTTTCTATTTTATTGTCATATAATAATTACGTTAATACCTCCTATCTGAATAACACCAACAGTTTACACAGAAGTTTCATATGCACCTTCTTACTTACCCCTCACAATAAAGTAGATATTATCATTATACTCTTTCACAGATGTAGAAAGTGAACAGGAAAGTAAATCGCAATGGTTTTCAAATGTTCTGCAGACTAGAAAATTCTTATCAAGTCAGATACCATGTAGACCAGTGGAACAGATTAGAGAACCCAGAAATAAAGCTGCATACTTAACAACCACTTGATCTTCAACAAACCCAACAAAAGCAATGAGGAAAAGACTCCCTATTCAACACATCGTGCTGACATAACTGATACATATGGATACATATGCAGAAGAATAAAACTGGGCGCCTACATATCACCAAGTACAAAAAATTAACCCAAGATGGATTAAAGGCTTAAATGTAAGTCCTCAAACCATTAATATAAAAAGCCTAGAAGAAAACCTAGGAATTACCCCTCTTGATACTGGGCTTGGCAAAAAAATTTTGGTTAAGTCCCCCAAAGCAATGACAACAAAACCAAAAATTGATAAATGGGACCTGAGCTTCTGCATAGCAAAACAAACTATCAAGGAAGTAGGGCCAGGTACAGTGGCTCTCGCCTGTAATCCCAGCACTTCGGGAGGCCGAGGCAGGCGGATCACGAGGTCTGGAGATAGAGACCATCCTGGCTAACAGGGTGAAACCCCGTCTCTACTAAGAATACAAAAAATTAGCCAGGCGTGGTGGCGGGCGTCGGTATTCCCAGCTACTCCGGAGGCTGAGGCAGGAGAATGGGGTGAACCCGGGAGGCGGAGCTTGCAGTGAGCTGAGATCTTGCCACTGCACTCCAGCCTGGGCGACAGAGTGAGCCTCTGTCTCACAAAAAAAAAAAAAAAACTATCAAGGAAGTATACAGACAGACAGCCTACAGATTCGGGGAAACTATTCATAAACTATGCATCCAACAAAGGTCTAATGTCCAGACTCTACAAGGAACTTAAACAAATTAACAATCAAAAAACAACCCCGTTAAAAAGTGAGCAAAGGACATGAACAGACAATTTTCAAAAGAAGACATACAAGGGGCCAACAAACGAAAAAAGCTCATCATCACTAATCCTCAGATAGATGCAAATTAAGACCTCAATGAGTGCCATCTCACACCTGTCAGAACGGTTTTTGTTAAAAAGTCAAAAAATAACAGATGTTGGCAAGGCTGTGGAAAAAAGGGGATACTTATACACTGTTGGTGGGAATGTAAATTAGTCCAGCCACTGCGGAAAGCAGTTTGGAGATTTCTCAAAGAACTAAAAGTTGAGCTACTGTTCAACCTAGCAATACCATTACTGCCATTACTGGGTATACACCAAAAGGAAAATTAATTGTTCCACCAAAAGGACACATGCACCTGTATGTTCATTGCAGCACAATTCACAGTAGTAAATACATGGAATCAACCTAGATGCCCACCAGCAGTGGACTGGATTTAAAAATGGTATCAGCCAGGTGTAGTGGCTCATGCCTGTAGTCCCATACTTTGGGAATCCAAGGCAGGAGGATTGCTTGAAACTAGGAGTTCAAGACCAGCCTGGGCAATATGGCAAGAGAGACTCTACAAAAATTTGTTTTAATTGTTTTAATTTAATGTTTATTTATTTTAATGTTTACTTAATTTAATGTTAATTTAATTTATTTAATGTTTATTTAATTTAATGTTTACTTATTTAATTTAATGTTTATTTTTGTTTATTTCAAGACTGTCTCGAAATAAACATTAAATTAAAAATAATTTTTTAATTATTTGAAATTAAATAATTTCATTGTCTCAAAAATAACTAAAATAATTATTAAATAATTAAAATAATTAATTAATATTTATTCAAATTATTTTATCATTATTTAAATTAAATATTGTTTAATAATTATTTTTGAGACACTGGTAAGGCTGTGGAGAAAGGGGGACACTTATACACTGTTGGTGGGAGTGTAAATTAGTCCAGTCACTGTGGAAAGCAGTTTGGAGATTTCTCAAAGAACTAAAAGTTGAGCTACCATTAATAAAAATAATTAAATTAAATTAACTAATTTAGTTAATAAAAATAATTAAATAATAAAATATTTGATAAATGTAATTAATTATATCTATTAATATTAGTTTATTTAATAAAGATAATATAATAAATACTTAATTGTTATTTAATTAGTTTAATTATTTAATAATTATTTTCAAGACACTTTGTCTTGAAATAAATAAATTTTATTTTGCCCAGGCTGGAGTGCAATGGCACAATCATGGCTCATTGCAGCTTTGATTTCCTGGGCTCAAGTGATCCACTTCAGCCTCCTGAGTAGCTAGGGCTACAGGCCAGTGCCACCATGCCTGGCTTTTTTTTTTTTTTTTCAATTTTTTGTAGATGGGATCTCACTGTGTTACCCAGGCTGGTCTTGAACTCCTGAGCTCAAGCAATCATCCTGCTTCAGCCTCCCAAAGTGCCGAGATTAGAAGCTTGAGCCACTGTGCCTAGCCAAAAAATTTTTTTCAATTAAAAAAAAATTGTGGGCCAGACGCAGTGGCTCATGCCTGTAATACTGGCACATTGGGAGGCCGAGGTGGGTGGATCAAGAGGTCAGGAGATTGAGACCATCCTGGCTAACATGGTGAAACCTCATCTCTACAAAAAATACAAAAAATTAGCCGGGTGTAGTGGCGGGTGCCTGTAGTCCCAGCTACTCTGGAGGGTTGAGGCAGGAGAATGACGTGAACCTGGGAGGCGGAGCTTGCAGTGAGCCAAGACTGTGCCACTGCACTCCAGCCTGGGCACAGAGCAAGACTCTGTCTCAAAAAAAAAAAAAATGTGGTACATTTGCATCATGGAATATTATGCAGCCATAAAAAAGAATGAAACCATTCTTTTGCAGCAACATGGATATAGCTGGAGGCCATTATGCTAACTAAGTGAACTAACACAGAAACAGAAAACCAAATACTGCATGTTCCTACTTACAAATGGGAGCTAAACAATGGGCACATGTGGACATAAAATAGGAATAGGCACTGGGGACTGCTAGAAGAGGGAGAGAGGGATGGGGGCAAGGACTGAAAACTACCTTTTGGGTACTATGCTCAATACCAGAGTGACGAGTTCAGTCACATCCCAAACCTCAGCATCATGCAGTATACCTCTGTAACAATCCTGCACATGTATCTCTTGATTCTAAAAGAAAAGTTGAAAAAGAAAAAGAGTCAGATATATAAAACCAATAGGGACAAAGATAACCTTTGCCTTCAAACTACTGCAGCTAACCACTCCCAGGAGGTTATTTTATGCACGGTTTAAAGACTAAAGGTGTAATTTGGAAAAAAAAAAAACACAAAAAACATGAGTTTTAGATTCAGACAAGCCTGATGTTGAAGCCTGGCTGAATATTTATGAGCTGCATGTTACTTTAGATACATTACTTAACCTCTCTAATTCTCAGTTTCCAAATTTGTAAAATGGAGGTAGTAATACTCTAGAGCTCCGTGCAGTACAAATTCCTAACCTTAGCCGTATCTTTGTCTCCCCAAAGGGCTAAATGGATTTTCTGAAAGTATTGAAAGAGTGGCTGGCAGAATCTAATTCTGCCACCAAGTACATTGCTTTTGCCACTACATCATGTGACTGTACATTGTACTCCCAACCAGGTCTGGAGTGCGTGGCAGTGACACATGCTCTCTCCTAAAGAAACAGGGTATGTGCATGTCCTGCTTTTTTTTTTCTTCTTCTTCGTAATTTCATTGGGACACATTTATCAAACTGTTTTTCTTTGTTTTCTGAGACAGAGTCTTGCTCTGTCACCTAGGCTGCAACCTCCGCCTCCAAGGAGCGGATTCTCATGCTTCAGCCACCCAAGTAGCTGGGATGACAGGTGTGTGCCACCACACCTTGCTAATTTTTGTATTTTTAGACAGATTTTTGCCATATTGGCCAGGCTGGTCTTGAACTCCTGACCTCAAGTAATCTGCCCACCTCAGCCTCCCAAATTGCTGGGATTACAGGCGTGAGCCACTGCGACCGGCCTGTGCAAGTCCTGTTGATGGCGTCCTTCTTGTTTAGTAACAGCAGCAGAGCAACCAACTGAGAAGGAACATTTAAAGCATGTGTTCTTAACCAGAGTCCTAGACCCTCACATGATCTTCAAGTGCTCCATGAACCCCCCTGAAATTGTGGACATTTTTGATGTCTGCATATGTGCATTTTTCTGAGGAAGATGGTCCACAGCTTCAAAATTATCAAAAGTATTCCAAAACTAAGAAAACTTTACAGCTCGTGGGCCAGGCGTGGTGGCTCATGCCTGTAATTCCAGCACTTTGGGAGGCTGAGGCCGGTGGATCATCTGAGGTCAGGAGTTCGAGACCAGCCTGGCCAACATGGTGAAACCCTGTCTCTACTAGAAATACAAAAATTAGCTGGATGTGTTGGTGGGTGCCTGAAATCTCAGCTACTTGGGAGGCTGAGGGAGGAGAATCACTTGAACCCGGGAGGTGGAGCTGAGATCGTGCCACTGCACTCTGACCTGGGCGACAAGAGGGAGACTCTGTCTCAAAAAAAAAAAAAAAAAGTTTAGAGCTCATGGATTAAGACGTTCTTGCCTTTATCATGGATGTTGATTTTCCTATTTTAGGAAAAGAGCCAAAGCTTGTTATTACCTTATTGAGTTTCTGTATAACAGAGGCCTGTGATTCCTGAATTTTAGTAAGCTTAGTGATAACCTGAATACAGCAACAAATACAAATATGACCTGGTATTAGATGATATTTAAAGAATCATTATTATTTTTGTTACGTGCTATTTAAGAAAACTTTTCTGATCATTTAATTATGAACATATATGGAAGTTTTATTACCACAATGCTTTTATATCATGCAAGAAAAAAGGCCCCTAACAAGTTCATTCAAATATTCACTGCTTTATTTTATAGAAAAAGAGACTGGTAAGATACTCAATATAGGACAGATTGAAAAAGACAGAACGTCTAAAGTTCACTCAATCCTTGACTAGTAGTCAGTTGGATAGGTCAGTAAATGATTTCCAGAACAAGCTTTAATCCCATTAACGTTCATCAGAAAAGTGCTTAAGAATTTCACCATGAATGCAAATATTGGATTTTAAGCCACCGTGAATAGGTCTTCTCAAATGTATTTGAATTGATTCATCTTCCATTTTAAGATCTTTTTAAAAGCTATTTTAGAATTTCTGAGAAATTTCAGATATGGTTATTGGGTTTACCGTAATTTAAAAATATTATTATAACTTTAGCTGGGGACTAAACCTTAATATAGGGTTTTGAGACTGGTCCTGTCTGTCAGTCAGTCATTTGGTGAGTTGGTGGAGACTGCACATCTATACTGTAGTGGGCATACCAGGAGAATAACCACCAGAGGTCGGTTGAAACATTTAGAGCCTGGCCATCCAAAATCAAAGGCAAGGGCCAGGCGCGGTGGCTCACGCCTGTAAACCTAGCACTTTGGGAGGTTGAGGTGGGTGGATCACCTGAGGTCAGGAATTTGTGACCAGCCTGGCCAACATAGTGAAACCCGTCTCCACTAAGAATACAAAAAATTAGCCAGGCGTGGTGGCGGGTGCCTGTAATCCCAGGTACTCGGGAGGCTGAGGCAGGAGAATCTCTTGAACCCAGGAGGCGGTGGTTGCAGTGAGCTGAAATCACACCATTGCACTCCAGCCTGGGTGACAGGAGCGAAACATGGTCTCAAAAAACCCAAAAAAACAAAATCAAAGGTGAAATCCAATGCATTGTTGCCAAACTGACTTGTGGGTAGAAATATCATCTTCCATAATTGAAATATATCTTTCATAGGTGGAAAAATAGCCCCATTTCCAATTTAAACAAAAAACAACTACAAAAAAATTCATCTTACATGCTTCACACTTCAAAAACATTATCACTTTCATTACTGAGTCATCAAAACTTCCTGAGTATTTCTTTTTTAAGTAAAAGGACCAATCACTAACCTGTTTTCTTTTCCACCTCACCATCTACAACAACAACAAAAAAGCTCAGAAATAGTCTGGTGAAACTATGCAGTGGGCACGGTTTTTCTGTGGCTTTCTTCCTTCCACCTTCTCAGTCCCTTCTCACACAGAACTCCCAGCCCTCTCTCTCCCTGTTCTAAGAGTCCTAGAACTGTTAAGGGATGCTTTGTATCTCTCCTAAAGTCTCTAAACCAAAGTTCCCTTTTCCTTCCCTTCCTGATGAAGCGAACCCTGTATCTTTCCCTGTTCCTGACCTCAGTGGAGTGCTGCCACCTGATCCTTCATTTATTTCTAGTTCACTCCTTATCACATTCCCCAGAATCCCTTTCCAATTTTTCTTTTTGTCCCAGTACCCACTACACACACTTACCTTGCAATCTTCTTTTCATAAGCCACTTTGCTACCTATGATGACATGATGGCAGCAGGCAGCTGCTTTGCCGCTACTCACAGTGTACTATCTGTGAATGGTGCCCCTGGAGTTGGGTACACAGGGAACACATTGGGAATGCAGCTGGGAGGTGTGAAGGTCACAGTCTTGGATGAGGCCATCTAAATGGAATGACCACAGGTTACCCCTTTCCTCTTCAAGATTCCTCTTGGTTGTCATTCCTTCCTCCTTGCCAGCACCTCCCTTTCTTGGCAGACCACATGCTTGGGATTGAGGCAGCCCCTTTCCAGCCGTATGACTTTGGGAAGGTTACTTAAGTCTTCGAAGTATTTATTTTCTTATTTAGAAAAACGGGGATATAATAGCATTTATCTCATGGTATTATCAAGTGGAATAAATGAGATAATGTCTGTAAGAGTACTGGCCCAGGGGGATGGTTAGCCAAGTTAGCTGTTGCTATAATTCCTAATTCTAAGGCTGAGATTCTACCCGTGAGGTCTGTAAAGTCTCTCTACAGTCTTTGAGAAGTGATCTGCTCCCCTCACTTCTCCATGAAAATTTCTATTTTTCTCCATATTTATTTTTAAAACACATTTTACCTCGTTGATAGCTGGAATTGAATTTAAACAGTCCTCAATGCCTTAGAATGATCAAATTATTAACACAGACAATCTCTCCACAACGATTCTGTGCCCACTTTCTAGTGTGTGGTTTTTTTGTTTGTTTGTTTGTTTGTTTGTTTTTTGAGACAGAGTTTCGCTCTTGTTGCCCAGGCTGGAGCACAATGGTGCGATCCCGGCTCACCACAACCTCCACCTCCTGGGTTCTAGTGATTCTCCTGCCTCAGCCTCCCGAGTAGCTGGGATTACAGGCATGCGCCACCACGCCTGGCTAATTTTTTGTATTTTTAGTAGAGACAGGGTTTCTCCATGTTGGTCAGGCTGGTCTCTAACTCCCAACCTCAGGTGATCCGCCCACCTCGGCCTCCCAGTGTGCTGGGATTACAGGCTTGAGCCACCACGCCCGGCGTGTGTTTCAGCCTTTGTGTCTCTTATGCTGCATTGGTCCTCACCCTGTGTTCTTTGTTCATAATAATAATAATAGTAGTAGTAGCAGAAGTAATAATAATTACCATTTTCTAAATGTGTCTCTTCTATCAGACTCCTTATTTACATGCTCAATTTAATCTCCACAGTTGGTTGGTATTATTATTTCCACTATATAGTTGAGGAAACTGAGGTCAAGAGTTTTTCAATACATTGCCCAACGTATCAGAGCCTGTAATGTTGAATCTGGGGATGTCTTATCCTAAAACCCATTCCCACTCCTAGCCCCAGGCAACCACTAATCTATTTTCTGTCTCCAAGTACAGAATGTTTATGCATAAGATTATGAATTTGCCTAAGGAGAATCACTTGAACCTGGGAAGTGGAGGTTGCAGTGAGCCAAGATCGCGTCACTGCACTCCAGCCTGGGCAACAGAGTGAGACTCTGTCTCAAAAAAAAAAAAAAAAAAGATTATTTGCCTATTCTGAGCATTTCATATAAATAGAATCATATAATATGTGACCTTTTGTGACTGGCTTCTTTCACTTAACATTATGTTTTCAAGATCCATCCATGTCACAGCATGTATCAGTACTTCAATCCTTTTGTGGCTGAATAATATTCTATTGTACAGATTTATCACATTTTGTTTATCCATTAATCAGATGATGGACATTCGAGTTGTTTTTACTTTCTGCCTATTATGAATAACATTGCTATAAACATTTATGTTAAAAGTTTTTATATAAAGATATGTATACAATCTTCTTACTCAGAGTGGAATTGCTGGGTCATATGGGAACTTTAACTTTTTAAGAAACTGCCAACCTTTTTACTAAAGTGGCTGTACTGTTTTGCATTCCTACCAGCAATACATGAGGGTTCCAGTTTCCCCATATTCTTACCAACACTTGTTATCATCCATCTTTTTGATTATAGCCATTCGAGTGAATATGAAGTGGTATCACACTGTGGTTTTGATTTGCATTTCCCTAATGACTAATGATGTTGAGAGTGCCATCTAATTTTATATTATTGTTCTTTGTGTGAAAAGGACAATCCCTAAATTTTAGTGGATGCCAAATGAAGAATTGTCTAGATAAATGTTTCTCTCCTCTGTAATTCACATTCTAAACTTAATATAATATTTAAAATACTAATTTGCTTTTCTGTAGTAGCCAAAGGAAAGGCTTTGCTCCTGCTGCAGATTTGTGTGTGTGTGTGTGTGTGTGTTTGTGTGTGTGTGTGTGTGTGTGTGTGTGTGTGTGCTTGATGTGTTATTTGTTTTGTTTTTATATGGAGAAGGTTTTAAGTACAAAAGAAGTACGTACAGACACTGATGGTCTCTCAACCACCTGCCTCAGCCCACCTGACTTTAGAGCAACTTCAATGCACATTCCATACACTTCCTGTGCACACCTTGAGGGCACACTCCTGGCGCTTGTTTGCTTTTGGCCTCAGGGCTTTCTCCACAGCCATAGAAGGCTGCTCATCTGGATCCTAGAGCCCAAAAGTGCAAGAGAAAGAAGAGAGGAGGGTAGCTTTAATACTGACCCCCAAAGGGAACCTTCAGTCAATAAGGTTTAGAAGTTGATGGATAAACACTGTAGCCTCTCATCCCTTGATGGGACAATTCTGGAGCATGGTCAACTCAGTTCCTTAGCAATGCCCAGCAGACATAAGCCACAGTTGCTCACAGTGGAAACCCACTCCTTAAAAACCACTTTATTGGCTTTCCTCTTTTCTTTGTCTCAACTTCCCAGCTCCCACATTTCTGCTTCCTAGGATCACCTCAAAAATAAGCTACCCACTCAAAAGTTCTTATCTCAGTATCTGCTTTCAGGGAAACCCAAATTATGTAAAATTATGAAAATGAAAAATGGATAAATGAGTAAAGGCAGCATTAATTGATTGAAAATTTGCAAACAATTTACTTTAAAGAATCCCTTTTGCTATTTTTCCACCATGGACCTGATGTTTTAAAGATTTTTTCCTATGAAATAAATTGTATTTGTAAGATAATAATAAATGTTGTCTTAAGGTCAAAGACAATCTGCTTTTAATACTAGTGTTTTCTCCACCAAGATTATATTATTTTTGCCAAAAAGCAAAGAAGACTGGAGTTTTAACTAGTCTACTTAATATTTATGTGTGTGTGTTCCATTCGACTTGTTCAAAACAGTTCCCCAAGTCTGATTATTATACTGTATTATTTTTTAAATAGACACACAGCACATGGTGGGAACCCAGAGGCTGAGAATTCCATACTAGCAAGTTCTTCCCACGAAGGGTGTTTTGGGGACCAGCGATAGAGCGGTGCCAATCCCTAGGTCCTAGCTGTTGGCAGCTTTCAGAGCTTGTTTACACTCTCTTCTTTTTTGACTTGTGATATCCCAGTTTGGTTTGTAGACCTTGAACATTTCACAAGTCCCTTGCCTCTATCTTCTTTTTTTTTCTTTATAGACAGAGTCTTGCTCTGTTGCTCAGGCTGGGGTGCAGTGGTGTGATATAGTTCACTGTAAACTCAAACTCCTGGACTCAAGCAATCTTCCCACCTAAGCCTCCCAAGTACCTAGAACTAAAGGAGGTCACCACCACACCCAGCTAATTTTTTTGTTTGTTTGTTTTTGGTAGAGATAAAGTCTCACTGTGTTGCCTAGGCCGATCTTGAACTCTTGTCCTCAAGCAATTCTCCTGCCCTGGCCTCCTAAAGCCTTGGAATTACCGGTGTGAGCTACCGCACCCAGTCTCCTTCCTCTATCTTAAGTCAGCCATCATGCCACTTAACCCAGACTTGGCAGCTTTGTGTGGCCATCTCTCCACAGCTCCACAGACGTTTGTTATTCCCCAATCCGCTGTTCTGTCCTAATTGCCATCTTCTGCCAAATTGAGAAATAATGAGACTGGCTGAGGCAGGATAGAAGAGCAGTGGTATCAAGTTAGAAGTCCTGGGTTCTAGTTCCAGTTCTGCCCTTCCTCGTATGGAGACACTAGACAAAGCATAATCTACTTGAGCTCCGTCTTCTCATCTTTAATGTGGAGATAGCATGATCAATTTTGAATTCTCACAGGGTTTGAGAGATAAAAACTTCTTCAGAAACAATAAGGCAAGGAAGTTCAGTGTAGTGTTGTTTTTGAGATTGAAAAATTAGAACTGGACTTAAGTATTTAAATATGAGGGGCCAGTTAAATTATGACATAATCATTATAATCTTTGCAACCATTAAGAATTATGTTGGAGAATAGTTAAAGGTGTTGGAAATTAAGTGGAAAAAAACAAATTATAAAACACTTATGTGAAAGTAGAGATTACCAGGAGTGGGGTAGAGAAGGGCATGAGGAGTTATTTAATGGATACAGAGTTTCTGTTTGATGAAAAAGTTCTGGAAATGAATAGTAGTGGTGGTTGTACAACATTGTGAATGTACTTAATGCCACAAAAAAAATTTTTTTTTTTTGAGACAGAGTCTTGCTCTGTTGACCAGCCTGGAGTGCAGTGGCACAAGCACAGCTCACTGCAGCTTCTTTCTCCTGGGCTCAAGCAATCCTCCCACCTCAGCCTCCCAAGTAACTGGGACTATCAGCACAAGCCCAGCTAATTTTTGTATTCTTTGTAGAGACAAGGTTTCACCATGTTGCCCAGGCTAGTCTCAAACTCCTGGGCCCAAGCAATCCCCCCACCTTGGCCCCCCAAAGCGCTGGCATTACAGGTATGAACCACCACACCCAGCCAGAGTTGTACATTTAGAAAAGGTTAAACTTGTAAATTTTATGTTATGTATATTTTATCACTATAAAACAAAAGGTAGCTGGAAGGTTGACGAAGGTAGTTCTTAATAAGGTGAAAAGAAAAAACAGTTCTCATGTGAAATCATGGAAATTTCTTGTAATTTATGACTATTCTAATTTTCATGGGCATATAATTAGATGAGCTATTAAATTATTTACTTGAAATTTTCGGCACAAAAATAAATGTGTTTGTATTTTAAAAACAATCTGTGTAGGGTGATCCTATTTTTAAAATTTATGTATATATATTATATATGCACATTATAAACATATACACATATATATGCAAACTACATGCATATCTGCTTTTTCTAAATTTTCTATGGTGAATATTTATTACTCCTACAACAAATGAAGTACCATATAAACCATAAGGAATTTTATTACTTATATGGTGGCTTTGGCCTGTCATAGTGTATAATATGCAACTGTTGCCAAAGGAATATGTCTCAGGTAATCTCCAATTGGTGGCTTACTTGAATTTGCAGGTGGAGACAACAGAATATGCAATGTTTGAAAAGTGATGGACTCTGTGGCTCATTTGAGGCCTTGAAGTAAGTCCATTATATTTGGAACATTATGTCTGTGAGTGGATAGTGCTGGGATAAAGGGCTCAGGATGAATCTGGAGAGGTAGGCAAGTAATAAAGAGACAAGTTGAGCACATTAGAGTTTGGACTTATCCTAAGGGCAACAGCAAACCACTAATGGGGTTTAAGCCAATGAAATCATTAGGTTTACACATTAAAAAGATTAAGGTGTTTGCCTCATGCTAAAGGCACCAGAGAGGAGCAAGACTGGAAGCGGAGAGGTTGATTATGAGGCTGTCATAGTCTCCCAGGCCATCTGGACAGGAGTGGTCACCAGAGGGATAAAGCCTGTGGATCTGAGACACATCTAAAAAGTAGAACTTTTGTGATGCTTAGTTCTGATTGGATATAGAGAAGAAGGGTAAGCACTATCTAGGATGCCTCGAGGTCTTAGCTTTGGGCAATGGAGAAGGGGCTGTGTCACCTACTAAGATACGAATCAAGTAGGAACTTGTTTGAGGGTGGAGGAAAGTAACAGGTTTATCTTGGAACCTGCCGAGTTTGGTGTCTGTGCAGTTGGAAATCCAGAAAAAGGAAAACTCAGAAGAGGTATCAGGAGCCAGTGGCATATAGAGGGTAACTGAAGCCATGAGAGTGGACAAGATTTCCCAGGAAGAGCGTGTAGAGAAGAGGTTTGTAGTCTTTCTTGGGAGTAAAGGGGTGATAATCTGATGAAGTCCATGAACCTTTCCTTCAGAAACATTCTGAAGGGGCTTGGTTGTTAAGCAAATGGAAGAAATCAGGACATAGTTGAGGGTTGTCATGAGGTCAAGAAAGATTGAGACTTAACTATGTTTAGATAGACAAGTAGTCAGGAAATGATTAGAGAAACAGAAGAGAGGAAGAATATTCAACGAGAAAACCAAACCCTTGAGAAATGACAAAGAGACTGGCTCCCTAAGACAGCAAAAGGCAAGAGTGTTAGGCAAAAGCAGGGGCAACTTTTTAAAGTCAGGAACAAGGAAGAAAAGCTAGAAGAGAACGCAGGTGAGCTTGTGGGTTGGAAGTTGAAGACTTTCTTATCAGATGACTTCTGTGGACTCAGTGAATAGGAGGTGAGGTCATCTAATGAGAGTCGGCAGAGGTCACAGGTCTGTGAAATGTCCACTGTAGAGATCAGATATGGAAAACACTATGAGATTTCTAGGCAGTAGAAGCCCAGTTAAACATGGGGACCAGGCATATATAACGACATAAATCTGGGTGATTTTTCTTCAGCAAATCTTGAGATCCTTGGTGAAAGTGAGAAGAATGCAATGGTTCAATTTTTTAAGGGCTATCAATTTGCCAAGGATTGTGAGTAAAAGATAGCAGGGCAAAGGAGATGAAGAGTCAAATGAGAACTGATCACAGAATGATGAACCAGGTATCAAAGCTGTCTGGAAATAAAATGAGGTCAGAAAGAGAATGATGAAAGGAGACAATGGAAATACCTAGGGATTAAAAATACCAAAGCATGCAGCCAGCCAACCTGTGTGCTCAGCAGTTCATTTGTTTTAAAGACTTTTATTTTTATTATTTTTTAAAATCACCAAGTGTCTTGATGCACCTATGTTGTAGTTTGATCATGAATTCCTGACCAGAACACTGAAGCTGAGGGAAGCCATTTGAAATCAAATTCCTTGTTCCAACCTAACAGCAAAGACTGTATAATCATTAATTTGCCTTTCAAATACAGGACCAGAATTAGATAGTAAAATATGTCTTGCATTCCCAAACTTAGGCTAATATCACTTGCACATGTAAAGGCTATGGACAAGGTATTAGATAATATTGGAGATTTATAAACCTTCTTATGTATATAATAATATTGTAGTTATGTAGGTTGATGTCCTTGTTTTTAAGAGATGCCTGTGAAGTGTGTGGAGGTGAACTACCAGCTTATCTGTGACTTATTTTCAAATGGTTATGGGAAAATGTATAACAAAGCAAATATGGCAAAATGCTAACAATTACTGATCAGAGTTAATGGTTCTCTACAAAGGAAGAGGGTTAATTTTACTTCCTGGGGAACATTGGCAACATTTGGAGACATTTCTGTCTGTCTCAAGTCAGGGGGAGGGTATGTGTATGCGTGCATGGGCATGCACTACTGGCATTTAGTGAGAAGCCAGGGGTGTTGCTTGTCATGGTTTGGCTCTGTCTCAACCCAAATCTCATCTCAAGTTGTAATCCCCACGTGTCAGGGGAAGAGCGTGTCGGGAGGTGATTGAATCATGGGGGTGGACGTCCCCTTTGCTGTTCTCGTGATAGTGAGTGAGTTCTCAAGAGATCTGGTTGTTTGAAAGTGTGTGGCACTTCCTTCTTCACTCTCTCTCCTGCTCGGCCATGGTAAGACATGCTGGCTTCCCGCTTGCCTTCCGCCATGATTGTAAGTTTCCTGAGGCCTCCCAGTCATGCTTCCTGTTAACACAGAACCGTGAGTCAATTAAACCTTTTTTCTTCATAAATTACCCAGTCTCAGGTAGTTCCTTATAGCAGTGTGAAAACAGACTGTACACAGCTGAATATCCTACATTGCACAGGAAGGCCCCCAACAACAGAATTATCCATCCCAAAATGCCATAGCACTGAGGCTGAGAAACCCTGAGCTCATGGTAGATATATAGATGATCATGGTGCCACTGCTAGTCTTTCACCTGTCCAAAATATTTTAAAACTTTTGCTAAAGGAAGTTTGAAATGAAAACTAAACTATGAGAACAAAAGAAGACATCTATCTTCTAACTAGTAAATGATAAATTATTATTGGTGGTGGTCAGAGATTTTGTTTGTGATTGAGGATTCTCTTGAAAACCATGACTTTTAGGTGGATGGCTGGAAACCATTCCTCACCCTCCCTATGGTCAATCAGTCAAAAATAGAACATTGTTTTTGTTCAGTACTCGAATTTTTTGTGCAAAATGTTCTCAGAGGAAGAAAAAGGAAGGAAAATGGACTGTTATAGACCACTTACTATGACCTAGGTATCATGCTGAGCACTTTTCATACACAGTCCTGTCTGGCCTGGAGTCAGCTGATACAGATTTAAGTATTCGTTGTGTCACCCAATGACTAATTTCTTTCTTTCTTTCTTTCTTTTATTTTTTTTTTCTTGAGACAGAGTTTTGCTCTTGTTGCCCAGGCTGGAGTGCAATGGTGCGATCTTGGCTCACCACAACCTCTGCCTCCCAGGTTCAAGCGATTCTTCTGCCTCAGCCTCCCGAGTAGCTGGGATTACAGGCATGCACCACCACGCCCGGACAATTTTGTATTTTTAGTAGAGATGGGGCTTCTCCATGTTGGTCAGGCTGCTCTCGAACTCCCAACCTCAGGTCATCTGCCCACCTCTGCCTCCCAAAGTGCTGGGACTATAGGCATGAGCCACCACACCTGGCCACAATGACTAATTTCATTCATTTATTTAATCATTCATTTCTCCACTCAGCAAACTTTTATTAGATACCTGCTAAGTTTCAGACACTGCTGGACCCTGGGGATATAGAAATAAATAAGGTATATTGCTTGACCTCGAGAAGCATATGGCCTATTGAGGGAGACAGAAAATTTAATAGTAAGCCATGAGAAATGATCCTCTCTAGAGGAATGGACAAGTTCCTCTAGGGGCACATAGGAGGTCAACAAAACCAGAGACAACTTCTCAGACTTGGGATACTTAGGAGTAAATCCACTCAAGGGACACTGGGGTGAGATTGGGGTGAGTGAGCTGTGAGGGTATGGGGATGAGTGTAGCATTCAGAGCTTGAGACAGGTCTGGAGCTCCTTCTATGTAGGTGGAGCACCATGTTAAAGGCCTGGAGATGAGAGAGAAAATGGAACGCCTTACAGTCCTTGCATGCATTCTAAGGCTTAATTTCAGCAGGCATCAGAATCTCCTAAAGGATTTGTGAAAGCACAGATTACAAGGCCTCACTCTCATAGTTTCTGATTCAGTGGGACTGGATGGGGCCCAAGTAGTTGTGTTTCTAACAAGTTCTCAGATGATGCCGAGGCTCCCTGTCTAAGGACCACACTTAGAGAATTCCTGCCTTAGAGAAACTACAGGTAGTTCGACTAGGGCTGAAGCTGAAGAGATGATCAAATTTGGACTAAATTATTGAGCCAATAGGGAGCTATTGAAGTGTTTTAACCACTTGAGCACTTTAATGCATAATCTCTCTTAGCCCTTGTATCTTCATTGTAACATGGGAGACTAATAACTATCAAACTATCTATCTCTCAGCATTCTTTTGAGAATAAAACCAAGCAACATTATGTAAGTAAATTATAAACCACCATATAAATGTCAGAGATAATTATTAAAATTAACTCACTTACAGCTGAAAATATTCTCTTTTTCCAGATAATAAAACTGAGGTATAGTAGGCACAGTTGGTATCAGCCAAAGCATCTTGGGCCTGGCTCCAGCATGCTCACCGCTGCACCACCCTGATCCTCCCTGCCACTCCAGTCAGGAGGAAAAATGTTTTAGTGTTACAAAAAGCCTCTGCTCCCAGTTGTCATTCCACCTTCTTCTTGACCTTAACCTATTGAGTGAAGTAGATGGTGAGGCTGATTGTCCCAGAGTGGAATCTAAGAGAATTTAACCCAGAGGTTAAATATGTAGCCCAGCTGAGCAAGGGTGGCCGGTAAAGCCGAGGTCAGACAGTCAGGCATAACTCACAGTTCTGCCCACTAGGCTTACCTGAGGTCCAAGAACTGGCACAGGGTTTTTGCCAAGGAGATGCTGGGCTCTGAGGTTGTCTCAGTCAGCAAGTGGCACCCAAAAGGAGAACTTCAAAGATTCATTCCTGGGAAACCCCATTAAGGAAAATAAAATAGTTTGGGGAATTGGCAACTTTTCAGTTTTCCTATCATGAGTGGAAGAAACAAAGCTGACCAGGCATGGTGGCTCATGCCTGTAATCCCAGCACTATGGGAGGCCAAAGCAGGAGGATCACTTCAGTTCAAGAGTTCAAGACCAGCCTGAGCAACACAGTGAGACACCCATCTCCATTTAAAAAAAAAAAAAAAGAAAGAAAAAAGAAACCAAGCTGTATGTTTTTTATCTTTACGTTTGTATGTCACTTTGCAGTTTAGATTCGCTTTTACTTTTACTTTCTCTTTTGATTCTCATGGGCAGTATTGTTGTTCCATTTTATAAATGGAACATTTATAAAAGGCATAATTTAGAACACTATAAATGAGAAGTTCAGTGGTTTGATAAGAATAACACATCCAGCTGGTCTTCAGATTTCAAATCTTATGCACTGGACTCCACCAAAATATTTATGTGAAATAAACGTAGCATGTAACAACTGTTTTCAACAAATGTGGTGATTACATATGTAGTATATGGAATCATCTATCTATCATCTATCTATCATCTATCTATCTATCTGAATGCCTTATATGCTTTTATTTTCCCATTTTCTCCTGGCAATACTATTTGGTTATTTCATCTACTTTTTAATTGTTTGGTTTGTTTTTGATTAACCTTCTATAATCTAGTCAGATGAATTAGAACATATTTTGGTGGAAATAATCCTTGCAATATAAGGATTAAAAATAGTGAAAATTTGTGATGTGATTAAATGAAATGGAATTAGGAAAAAATGCAGGTTTAATGGTGAAAACTCTGCACTGTAAAAAGAACATTTAGTTAATCACAGGAATTATCATTTTTTTAAATTCAGAAAACAAAGATTCTAAAGCTCCTTTAAACATTTTTCAGAAATAATGCACATAGTACTTCTGTGAGAGTAGCCAGAGTGCTAAAGTAAAAAGAGAGTCCTTGATCAGCTCCCTCCACAGCCATAAATAATCCAGTCCAATAAACTGTAAAGGACTCACGGTATGGTAGAGATCAGAGTTCAAATTCAGCAAGCCATTAGAAGCACTGGAGAATTTTAAGCACTTTTTCTTCCCTTCCTGAATAACGTCTGGCATTTGTGGAAGATCACTGATGGTCATCAATTTTTCCTCTTACATAGATTATACGTATATGAGCTTGAGCAAACCTGGGCTTCCGAGGGTCTGTCTTTTTAAATCCAGAGTCCATTTGTTTTTCTTAAAAAAGATTAGTGCCCTGCTTGGAATCATAAACCTTCGAGACTGGGATGGAGTTTGTAGATTATCCAGGTGAAGACTGAATAAGTTGCCCAGTGTCGCTTGGCCAGCTGGGACCCAGGTTTCCCGACTTGCTTTCATGGTCTCATGATGATTCTAAGGATGTAAAGAGACTAAAACAAGAATAAAAAGAAATTATTTCATTGCATGGGGGGAATGTTTATAATATACTGTTGTGTGAAGAAAGCACATACCGCAGTATATATCATAGGATTCTATTTGGTGGGGGAAGGATGGAAAGAATGTATGTATGTATGTTAGGTACAAAAAAGGCCAGGGAGATGTCAGCAGGCCTAATAGCTCTAGGTGGGGCAGTTAGCAGGAATTGCTCTTTTCTTCCTTGAGTTTTTATATATTTTCCAGATTTTTAAATGAATACATATAACTTTGATAATCAGAAAGAAATTGATGTTATAAGCGAGGGATTAAAAGCATCCTAAGAAGGTCACACAGGCACATTTCAGGAATACAAAGATAAGTAGCTTTAGAATCCTTTGTTTCCAGAGACTGGAGAGCAGAGGACTGTTATCTGTAGAAGACAGGTATTTGACCAGAGCTGTGCAGCAGTCTGATGAAGGCAGATGGACGAATTGGCACCTAAGAGCCAACGCACGGGCTACAAGACAAACATCCACAGTGAGGCTGCAGTGACAGCCTCTCTTTACTGGGCAAAGTCAGCTTACTTCCCACTTCCCGTTACTCCTACCACCAAAACCATTGCAGAATCCTGAACTATGAACCCCTATGTTCACTTTCCTAGAGATGTGGAATACTCCTCTGGAACTGTGGCTTTCTGAAGGAAGCTGATTCTTTTTTTTTTTTTTTTTTTTTTGAGACGGAGTTTCGCTCTTGTTGCCCGGTGACTGGAATGCAATGGCGCGATCTCGGCTCACAGCAACCTCCGCCTCCCAGGTTCAAGAGATTCTCCTGCCTCAGCCTCCCAAGTAGCTGGAATTACAGGCATGCACCACCAAGTCCGGATAATTTTGTACTTTTTTAAAAGTAGAGACAAGGTTTCTCCACGTTGGTCGGGCTGGTCTCGAATTCTCGACCTCAGGTGATCCACCCGCCGCAGCCTTCCAAAATGCTGGGATTACAGGCATGAGCCACCGTGAAATCTCTCATTGCTACTCCATTCTTTCTGCCCAACTTGACTTAGTAGCTTATATTCAGAACTAGCAAAGAACAGGAAAAAGCAATAAAAATAATAAGTAGATTGATGAGCAGGTGGACTGAATAATTACTTTCAGTTATAGAACTCCTCCTATTTACCTTCCAGGTTCTAATTTATGTGCTGTATTATTTCTAATACTTGGCATTGTTGCTAATATTTACATTATCTCTAACTTCAACAGGAGGCATTATTACTCCATTTCAGAGGTGTTAAAACTTAGCCTGAGAGAGGTTGAGTTATTGAACAGAGCAGGTTTAGAACCCAGACCTGTTTGATTCCAAGGCCCTGCCCCTTTGAATGTCATGGCCTTTTACTCTGTGCCCTGAGATGGCTCAGTACTTGCTTAGTGGGCCCAATAGAGTGCTGAAGGAGAAAGAAGAGCACTGGATTAGGAGTCTTATGTCTGGATGCACCATCGAAGTGGAACCCAGGCATGGGCAGCTGTTTAAATGATCTCCAAATGGCCCATGGCTGAATCATCTCCATCTTCATGTTGTTTGCCAACAAAACAGACATTCTTTGCCACAGTTGGTTTTTGTTTGTTCATTTCTCTGATATGTCGACCCTACTTAATATAGGGAAATAGAAAATTTCCTGATTAAATTAAATGAGATCGAACTCAAGTCTGTTTGGAAGATGGATTTAGGTGGAGGATAAACAGTAGGGTAAGTTTCTGGAAAGTGAACTCAAAATGGCAGCACCCTGGCTGTCAAACCTCATTTCCTTTTCTCGTTTCCTTTTCATCTCACATCCCCATCTCATAAATGCTCATCTTTCCTCTGTGAACTGACTGATGTCAATCACATAGAGAACTTCAAACTCCCTCAGAGTTCCTTTAAAGAGAATCAACCCTAATGTGGTTTCCATCTAGTTAAGTGCTTGAGTCTTGTGTAAGTAAACAACCCAACTTTGACACCAGAAAGTTTATGGTATGGTTGGGGTTGTGGTTGGAGTGGAGGAGAAGCAGGTTTAAGGGAAATTTTAAGTAGGAGATTTCTCTTCAGAAAAGAAAATGAAGTCTCGGCTGAAGTTGTTCTCTATTTCATCAGTGTTACAGGCACTCCACACCAAGCTCAGGTTGCACCCTGCCCTCTGCACTTTACCTTGGGCTACAGGTCTGGGCAAGGGAAGTCGTAACAATTCATTGCCCTATTTCCTGCAAGAAGATCAAGTCTAGGGCTCACGAAGCCAAAGAAGAGAAATTCTTCTCCAGTGACTGAAAAGTCACCTTCTTCAGCTCCTTCACCTTCACTCTTTTCTCTTCAGGGAAAGCTGCCCTTCTCCTGGGGACTGGTATGTTACCTTATGAATACTGGGAATTGGGTAGCTGATTTTCAGTTTTAGTGTTTGCTGCAAGGAAGCTTACATACAAATTTGGGATGCACTTCTAGTAGAGTGTGCTGGCCTTCAGGGCATAACTTGGAACACTAATCTTACCTCGTTTTCACCTGATTCCTCCTACAATCTCTTTTATTTTCCATAGGTATCTTAATTTGATGGATTTTTTAACATCCTGCATTGTTTGTGTCTTTGCAAGCTGTCTTCAATTGTTCTGGAACAAGTAGTAAGAACTCCATATATCTGTCAAGCCACATATTTAGGTGTCTGTCCAACATACAATAACACTCTTCTCCCCATTTTTCTGTAGGAACTGCCTTAGCCACAGGAATGAGACCCCAAGTCAACCTGTTTGCACTATGTGATCCTGCCTGTTGGGCCAACTTAACTGGGATTGAGGTATATACCTAACCCAACCTGAGCCACACAAATTCTCTCCTCTGGGAATTTGAAATTGGGAGTGGCAAATGCCTAGTCTGCTAGGCTGGGTACTTGACTATGTAAATATCTGCAGCATTGATTCTTAACCCTGGCTGCCCCATAGAATCACCAGGGACACTGAAAAAATACTGGTCCATCTCTGCTTATTAAGGAATTTGAAGATATATACATTGGATGTGACCCATTAATTCTTCTCCCAGATAAATCTACTGATTGGATTTATTATCATCATTCCTCTAAAGAGTTTGTGACTGGAGCATATGAAATGTAACCCTTAAATTTTTCTACCTCTCATTGAAAATTGTTGCATAGAAAGGATGCAAAACCAAAGTACTTTCTGTTCACTTCAGTCCCAACATCTGCAAATACATAGATAGAATTTTGAATGAATTGAAGAGTCTCTCACTACCATTGGACTTTATTTCTGATACCATTGTTGGTATTTCTGATTACCATTGGACTTATTAGGAGATATATATATATATATATTATATATATATAGTGTATTTGTAATTTTTTGTAGGGTCATGTTGCCCAGGCTGGTCTGGACCTCCTGGCCTCAAGTGATCCTCATGCCTCAGCCTCCCAAACTCCTGGGATTACAGGCATAAGTCACCACACACTGGGCCAACATACATTTCTTTTTATTTCTTTTTAATTTTAGTTTTTTTGAGACAGAATCTTACTCTGTCACCCAGGCTGGAGTGTGGTGGTAAGATCTCGGCTCACTGCAACCTCTGCCTCCCGGGTTCAAGCGATTCTCGTGCCTTAGCTTCCCAAGTAGCTGGGACTATAGATGCATGCTACCACACCTGGCTAATTTTTGTATTTTTTTTGTAGAGTTTCATCATGTTTGTCAGACTGGTCTCAAACTCCTGGCCTCAAGTGATCCATCCACCTAGGCCTCCCAAAGTGCTGGGATTACGAGTGTGAGCCACGATGCTCAGCCAACATACATTTCTTTAACACTTTCTATGTTTAAGGCCTTTTGCTGGTGCTGGGGGTGGTGAAGGGAAGGGAAGAAAGTAGATATCTGGAAAGACCTGACCCTAGGGAGACAGGCAACAAGCAACATGGCAGAGAGGAATTAATGGTCATATTCTTAGGATATAGCAGTAAGGAAGGCACCAGAAGCTTGCTCCAAGCAGTACTAGCAAGTTCTGCTTATCTTGTTTTATGTCAGATAATCTAGTATTCCTTCCATTTGTAGAAATAATCATGGGGTGGCTAAAGTGTCATTCAAATTATGCCCATGAAGAGGCTAGATGCAACCAGCCTCCAAGAGCAGTCTCATTTAAATCTAGATAAAACCTATCAGATATTCCACATATTGTAATTCCCATTTGAATTCCTCGCTCAGCACCAATTTTCTCAGTTGGCCTTTCTTGCCCTTTCTTTTTATTGTTTATCTACCTTTGAAAATAACAAAGAAATGGAGTGGGAAATGGAAAATTACTCTGTTGGAAAAACTCACCTTCTTAAATGTGAGTTTTCAATGCGTTTAGAAATATAGTATAGAATTTCTGAGTGCACCCAGATATCTCCTCAAGCTAGTGTAACTGACAGAGCTCCCGGTTGGAGAGAAAAACACATTAACAGTAATACTTAATATTTACTGAGTACTTACACACCAGACAATTCTGCTAAAAGGTTAGATGCAATATCTTACTTAATGTTCAGAATAATCCTTGAGTAATTCCATCTTCTCTGTGTTACAGAAGAGCAAACTGAGGCTTAGAGAGGTAAAGGAATGTGCCCAAGGTCATGCAGGTCACTAAGGGTGGACACTGGATCAGTACTTCGGTCTGTCCACTAGAATTTGAGAACTTTGTTTTTGATAGTTGCTGTATCATTTACCATTCAAGTAATGCCTGGCATTGGGAGGCACTCAATAAATATTTGTTGAATGAGTGAATAAGTGAATGACTATCTGGCTCCAGAAGAAAATCTCTAGCAGGTGGGTAGAATCACATGCCTAATGGATAAAGCCCCTACACCATGGATTATGGGCTTGAGCCGGGAGGTGTCCACTTTCAGAAATGAATGGTGGCATAGAAATAGTATCCCATGACCCAGAAAAGCTAGGTTCTTATCTTGGCTCTTTAGCTGTATGACCTTGGGCCCATCATCCTCATGCCTTTCTGAGCTTCAGATGTCATTTCTGCAAGATGAGAGCCCTCAGAGTACCTCTGCATTCTCTTCCAACTCCAACAGCCTGTCAGTCACAAGAATTTTACACTTCAGAAATTGATCTTCTGGATAAACCACTCCAAGGACAAACCCCAAATGGTTTCCAGCTGTCAGAAGAGATTCATTCCCACCCCAAATACGGTACCACCTTCTCTGTCTCTCCAGATTCCCTACTGGGATGCTGCATTTAGTGTTTATTTCTTTTACTTTCTTTTCTTCCCCACTTTTCAACTTTTAATTTTGAAATAATTTTTTACTTACACAGAAAGTAAGAAAAAATTTCTGATTACCCTTCTTATAGTTTCCCCAAATGTTAACATTTTTCATGCCACAGTGAAATGATCAAAATCAGGAAGTTAACATTGATAAAATACTATTTTCTGACCTACAGTCCTCAAGTTCACCAATAGTCTCACTAATCTACTTTTTTTTCTGCTCCAAGATCCAGCCCAAATTTACGTGTTGCATTTAGTTTGTCTTGTTTTGTTTGTCTTCCTTGATTTGCAACAGATTCTCAGTCTGTCTTTGTCTTTCATGCCCTTGATGCATTTGGAGTATTGCCAAGGTATTTTTTAGAACGTCCCTCAATTCGGGTTGGTCTGGTGGTGATTGAGTTCAGTTTATACACTTTTACTAAAAATATCACAGAAGTGATTTGATTCCTTATTTTGCCTCTTATCAGGCACTGTGTGGTGTCAATTTGTCATATTACTCATGATGCTTTTTGTTGCTCTCAGTTTTATCATATTCTAGATGTTTTATCTAAAAGTAGAGTCATAATAATAATACCTGCCTCACAAAGTTGTTGTGAAGATTGAGTAGAAAAAAGGCCATATAAAGCACAATTCCTGGGATAGCAGGGCTTATCATTTTCATCTTTTTTTAAGTATATCAAATAATTAGGAAATTATTTGAGTAAAAATGGGAGTTTCTGACTGAGCTGGAGTTGGGGCATTTGCAAATCCACATTTTGCCTTTGCATTCACTGCTGCAGCTGTGCCCCCTGAAGTCAGGAGAATTCCAGCAGGCCCGGAAGGATCACAACTCTCAATGTTTCTCTGTAAGGGCAGCAAAAGTAACTAAAGTGTCATTTGAATGTTTGGCTATTGTAAGCTCAGTGGCAGGGGACATGTCTATTCAACCCTGGATCTGGCCTACAAGATGTCAGGTAACCTTTTCAAGGGCATGAGATGTTAATAGTTTTTGAAGTCAAGTTACTAGATATTATGTTTTTGCCTGGGTAAAACATACGATGAATGTATAAATCTGGGTTTTACAGGTGACATCTACATAGAGTGTTTATTTAACTAACTGCAGTTAGTTTATTTAACTAACTGATTGACATGTAGGTATTCTGTAATATTTTTCTATTAGTCTGTGAATAGGCAGTCCAATGAATTATTTATTGGGCTAACACATCCTGGTGCTTTTTTTTTTTTTTTTTTTGAACATTCTCTATTGGAAGTCATGGTTTTGCTTACTCAATTAACCTTCTCCTGCCCACATCTTCTCTCTTGAGGAGTAAACTACCAAAATACAAAGCAGCATTTTGGTGTACAGAGGAAGGGATCAAGCTTGCTCAAGATCTTATTCTCCTCCAGTTGTAATCTCTCCAAAATCACATGTAGAACCTTATTTTCTAATTGATTATAGGGCATGAGATGCACAAACACCAATTCACTATGCTTTTCTAGAAATGAGTAAAGCTGCGGCAGAGAAGTAAAGAGAGAAAACATTCCCCTCGTTCTGCCAGATTCCAGACTCATTCTCTGAAGATAGCCACCATTTGAAGAGTACTACCAAGGTACTTTGTAGAACGTCCCTCTGTTTGGGCTGGTGCTGGGGATGGCAGTGACAACAAGAACTGTTGAATCAGAAAGTATTTTTCTATTGTCCCTTTACCCTCCATGCTCTCTATAGTGCCATTTTTTTTCCTTTTTTCTCTTCCCCATATGCTATTGTGGTCGTTCAAGTCGGGCGTGATCGTGGCTTGAACTAGGGTGGTTGAGGAGGAGGGAACGAACAGTAGAGGTAAGATTCAGAGGTGTATTTGAGCTTATTGTTGACAGGATTTCCTGATAGATTGGTTGAGGGGGTGTGAGTAAAAGAGATAAGTCAATGATAATTCCAGGGCTTTTTTGTTTGTTTTTTTGAGTCGGAGTCTCACTCTGTTGCTGAGGCTGGAGTGCAGTGGCATGATCTTGGCTCATTGCAACCTCAGCCTCCAGGTTCAAGCAATTCTCATGCCTCAGCCTTCCAAGTAGCTGGGATTACAGGCATGCACCACCACGCCCAGCTAATTTTTGTATTTTTAGTAGAGATGGGGTTTCACCATGTCTGGTCTCAAACTCCTGGCTGGTCTCAAACTCCTGGCCTCAAGTGATCCGCCCGCCTTGGCCACCCAAAGTGTGCTGAGATTACAGGTGTGAGCCACCGTGCCCGGCCTAGGTTTTTGTTTTTTTTTTCCTGAGCAACTAGGCAACTAGATGGGTGCTGGTGCTATTTACTGAGGTAGGGAACCCAGAGAGAAGAGCAAATTTGGAAAGAAGGGCTCAAGAGTTTTGTTCGGGGCCTGTTATGTTTGAAATGCCTATTAGAGAACCAAGGAGACATGTCAAATAAGCAGTTTGGATATATAAGCCTGGAATTTAGGAAAGTGTAGTGGAAAGAACACGAGATTTTGTGTGGTACATTTGGAATTACAATCTTTTTTTTTTTTTTTATTTTTTGAGACAGAGTCTCACTCTGTTGCCCAGGCTGGAGTCAGTGGTGTGATCTCAGCTCACTGCAACCTCCGCCTCCCGGATTCAAGTGATTCTCCTGCCTCAGGCTGCCCATGTAGCTGGGACTACAGGTGTGTGCCACCACGCCCGGCTAATTTTTTTGCATTTTTAGTAGAGATGGGGTTTTACCATGTTGGCCAGGCTGGTCTCGAACTCCTGACCTCGTGATCCGCCTGCCGCGGCCTCCCAAAGTGCTGGGATTACAGGCATGAGCCCCCATGCCCAGCCCAGAATTACAATCTTTTTATAAGACTTTGACTATGTATTTAACCTCTCTGGCTCACAATTAACATATACATCAATTGTAAATTATATTAGTCATATTTCAGTTATCTATTGCTATGTAACAAACCACACCAAAGTATAGTGGCTTAAAACAAAAATGACCTATTACTTTTATCATTTATTTATTTATTTTTAAGACAGGGTCTCACTTCGTCGCCCAGGCTGGAGTGCAGTGGCACAATCTTGGCTCACTGCAACCTCCACCTCCCAGGCTCAAGCCATCCTCCCACCTCAGTCTCCCGAGTAACTGGGACTACAGGTGCATACCACCACGCCCAGCTAATTTTTGAGGTTTTTTTTAAGAGATGGGGTTCACCATGTTGCCCAGGCTGGTCTCGAACTCCTAGCCTCAAGCAATCCGCCCACTTTGGCCTCCCAAAGTGTTGGGATTACGGGCGTGAGCCACCATACCTGGCCTAATGATTTATTACATTAAAATTATTCTGTGGGTTGGGATTTAGCTGGGTGGTTCTGCTGGCTTTGCTTGGGTCTCTTATTCAACAATAATCAGCTGAGAGCTTGGCTGGGGTTGGAGTGTCCAAGATGGCTTCTCACTCTCCAGAGCCTCTCTCCAGTTGACCTCTCATGATTTAGTAATTTAGCCTGAGCTTTTTACATGGCAACATAGATCTTGAGAAGACAAATCCAATGTTCAAGCACTTATTCAGCCTCTACTTGTATCATGCTTGCTAATGTCCCACAGGACAAGGCAAATCAGATGGCCAGGCCCATGGTCAATGTGGGAGAGGGTATAATACTGGAAGGTGTTATTAATTGTGGACCACCATTAATTGAGTCTACCACAGCTGACTTGATCAGGTTTTTGTGAAGATGAAGTAAGGTAACACATGTAAATTGACTGCCACATGGTAGATTCTCAATAAATATTAGCTATTATTATTAAGACATAGCTTCAAAATCAATTCCCAGGACCTGTAGATATTAGTCTTATTTTACTAATATACGTATAGGAGAAGAAAATGAACATGCTTTCTTGTTTCTTTATTGTTTTCTCCCGCAGAAGTAGAGCTACGGTTCTTTTTCCTTTGCACTCAATTGTACTGCCTAATAGATGTTCTATGATTATATAAAATTTGGTGAATAAGTAATCTACTGCTCTTGTTTTCGAAAAATAAAAATTCCCTTTTAATGTTCTCATTAAAATGGCTTTGAAACCAAAGTTTAAAATCTGAACACAGATTTTTTTCCAATAATTTTCCCAAATGTAAAATTTGTATTTGCCAATTTTTAAATTTTGTAAACTAAGTCTATTGCTTATTTCTAACTGTAATTCTGCTACAATTTCTTTCTTTCTTTCTTTCTTTCTTTATTCTTTTTTTTTTTTTTTTTTTGAGACAGAGTCTCACTCTGTCACCAGGGCTGGAGTGCAGTGGCATGATCTCGGCTCATTGCAACCTCCGCCTCCTGGGTTCAAACGATTCTCCTGCCTCAGCCTCCTGAGTAGCTGGGATTATAGGTGCCTGCCATTATGGACAGCTAATTTTTTGTATTTTTAGTAGAGACGGGGTTTCACTGTGTTGGCCAGGCTGCTCTTAAACTCCTGACCTCGTGATTCACCCGCCTCGGCCTCCCAAAGTGCTGGGATTACAGGCGTGAGCCACCGCGCCCGGCCACAATTTCTTTGCTATTTAATTTTCTTCTACATAAGTCACATCAAGGCTGCTATAAATATTTTGGTAATAAAGGAACAAATCACTCATGCTTTAGCCATAGCTCTTTACCTGCATAAAAACAGCACAAAGTGGTGCATTGTTTAGACAGATGTGAGGACATAGAGATGATGTGCATGTGTGTGTTTATGCCATTCTGGGCACCAGAAACTTGACGATAGTGGTCACATAAGGGAACTACCAAGATATCTTTTGTATCTCTATATAACAATACCCACAGGAGTTCTGAAGCTTGGGACTTTTCGAAGAAGGCAAAATAATTTTTTAGAATGATTATACTTTAACTACTACTAATATGTATGTATGTGTGTATATACACATAACATTTATGTATGTGTGTATATACACATAACATTTATGTATGTGTGTATATACACATAACATTTATGTATGTGTGTATATACACATAACATTTATGTATGTGTGTATATACACATAACATTTATGTATGTGTGTATATACACATAACATTTATGTATGTGTGTATATACACATAACATTTATGTATGTGTGTATATACACATAACATTTATGTATGTGTGTATATACACATAACATTTATGTATGTGTGTATATACACATAACATTTATGTATGTGTGTATATACACATAACATTTATGTATGTGTGTATATACACATAACATTTATGTATGTGTGTATATACACATAACATTTATGTATGTGTGTATATACACATAACATTTATGTATGTGTGTATATACACATAACATTTATGTATGTGTGTATATACACATAACATTTATGTATGTGAGTATATACACATAACATTTATGTATGTGAGTATATACACATAACATTTATGTATATATACATATGTATACACACATAACATTTATGTATATATACATATGTATACACACATAACATTTATGTATATATACATATATATACATATATATACACACATAACATGTATATATACATATGTATGTATATGTGTATATACACATAGCATTTTATGTATACCAACAAAGAATACTATTTAGGAGAGAGTTCTGTTATCATTTTTAAAGGTGAGATTGCTTAGCCATTTGGTATTTTTCTCCTTGCATTGTACAAGTTCTGTAGATTCTGTTTAGATTCTGGCCCCAAATCTTAAGCCTACTTGTTCTGAGAAGTCACTTCTTTGGGGTCCTTAATCCCTATGCTAGAATATTTCTGGTCTGTCCACAAATATGATTGGCAGAATGTTATCTCCTTATTGAGCCTCTGTTTCCCTGCCATTGTGGTTCTACCTGACCTTCTGCATCCTGTATATGTTTCTGCCTATGTGTGGCCTTGGGAAGGATAATTTAGCTTCTTTCCTTTGACAAGAAGAGTAACTTCTTTGGGATCCAAACACAAAATGCTCCATTCACTGGCAGAAGCTGGATTGTCATAACATGTCTTGTGTAACACTACTAAATACCTTTTCTTATCACAGCAGTGCAAGTTTGCACCTGTTCAGCCACATTGCATGCAGTGCTGTCTGGGTAACACCAGTAGAAGGACACAAAACAAAACAGGAACGAATCAACTTAGAGTCTCAGTTGACTTTTCCCTTTCTTTCTGAATTTTTGGTGCCATTTTCACAAAACTCATGGTTTACTTTATTCCTATGAATCATATAATTTCCTTTCTTCACTTTACTTGTAGAAATACATTACAATATTATTTTCTTTTTTAAAAAAATATGGAATGCTTCAAGAATTTGCATGTCATCCTTGCACAGGGACCACACTAATCTTCTCTGTGTCATTCCAATTTTAGTATATGTGGTGCTGAAGCAAGCACTACAATATTATTTTTAAATTGAAAAATCATAGGCTATGAAGACATATGTTTTCCCTTTGTCTCAGAATCACACAGCCCTCATATCAATTTATGCATTTTCCTAAAGTGAAAGGACATTGATCAATTTTTTGCCATATTGTTATACAATAATACATGGAATCATATCAGTCAGGATAATCTCAATTATGCTTCAGTGATAACCAGCCCTGAATTTCAGTGATGCAATAAGATTTATTTCTTACTCATGCTACCTCCCAGTGTGGGTTGACTGGGGAGCCAAGGTCATCCAGGTCTCTTAGGGCCCCAGGCTGACAGAAGCTCCATCTCAATTCACACTCTCATCATCACACACGCACAAAATAGGGAAATGTGGCAAATTGTGCGCTGGCTCCTAAAGTTTTGGGCCAGAAGTGACATGTCACTTTATTCATATTTCATTGGCCAAAGCAAGTCCCATGGTCAAGCATAATTTTCAAAAGGAGAGAAGAGTCCAAACCTGTTGTATTTCCAAAGGGAGATGAACTGGAATATGTGTAAACAGCCCCAATGACCATGGTAGTACCTTAGAAAGAATTAATCTCACCAGAAATACAAGTAATTAAAAATATTTAAATATATAAAGAAAGAAAACAATAGTGCTGCCAAGTAACAGTGCAATAGTCACTCTCTTACACTGATTATGAAATATTTCTGAAAAGCAATTTAGAAATATGTATTTATCAAGCGCCTCAAAAATCATCCATAAACTTTGGACCTTATTTACACTTTCAGAATTTAGCTTCATAAGAATAAAAATTGTAAATATCTAAATGTCTACTAAAGGGGAATTGGTAAATCTACTACCATAGCACACATAATGTAATATTATATAGCCACTAAATATCATAGGTTTGAATAATTTAAAATGGTAAAATGCTCAGGATGTAACGTTAGGTGAAAACTATCAGGGTATAATAGTGTTTTCAATATTAACTCATTAAAGAACCTTAGTGGTAGTTATCTCTGGCAGGTGGGATTAGGGTTTTTATTTTTCATTTTTATACCTTTCACACATTCTAAAATAAACATATACATTTTTAAAGAAAAATACAACTGAACTTAAAAAATACTCAACACTTCTGTTTTATAGCTTTATTGAAGTATAATTTATATACCTTGACATTCATCCATTTAAAGTGTACAGTTATATGAGTTTTAGCAAATTTATACAGTTATGTAACCATCACCACAATTAAAATTTGGAATACTTTCAACATCCCCAAAAAGTTCTCTCATTCCCTTTTGTAGTTCATTCCTGCTCACACCCCAGCCCTTCAATCTGTTTTCTATTGCTGCATAATTTTGCTCTTGTTAGAGATTTTATATGAATGGAACTGTATGCATATGTTATTTTATATCTGTCTCCTTTCACTTAGCATGATGTTTTTGAGATTAATTCATGTTGTTACATGTATCAGTAATTCATTCTTTTTATTACTGAGTAGTGTTCTATTGTATGGAAACACAATATTTTGCTTATCCATTTAGCAGTTGATGGACATTGGGTTGTTTCCAGACTTTGGCTATTATGAATAATGATGCTATGAGTATTTGCATACAAATCTTTGTGTGGATATATATTTTTATTTCCCTTGGATAGATATCTAGGAATGGATTTGCTGAGTCATATGGGAAGTGTAAGTTTAATTTTTTAAGAAACTGCCAACCTGTTTCCAACATGGCCATACCATTTTACATTCCCACCAGCAATGTAAGAGAGTTCTTGTTTCCCTAGATTCTTGCCAATACTTGGTATTGGTAGTCTTTTTAATTTTAGCCATTTTGATAGGTTAAAAAATATCTAGCACGTGGATTGTTCCCTCACAGGCATTTAGCTGGCAGTACGGTTGTAAGCTCTATTCACATGGTAGCTCAAAGCTGGGATCTTGAGTTTCCATGCTTGCAGGCCTCCAGCATCCTAATCAAAAGTAAAGGAAGTCTTCATCAACAACCAAAGGTTCAACTCTTTGTTATTATAGACATAGGCCAAGTAAGTTTCTTACAGTAACACAACATACACAACTCAACCCACATACAAACTGACCAGACTTTTGTGTTTCTTACAAATGTGTGTGTTGGGGTACTGCAGGGCAAGGGGAATAGGGATAGAAATACGTTGTGAACTTTTCTCTTTTGCATGAAAGCTAATTAAGGAACAGGCATGCCACTGAATGTTTCTTTTCCTTTTTTTTTTTTTTTTTTGACAAGACAAAGTGTGGGCTGAATATATAATTTGAATATATATAATTATTTCTTGATAACTATAAGGACAAGAAACAAGTGCTGCAGGACTTATGGAATTCTTTGGTATGGGATGTGCCTAGAGAAATGGTATACTCATGTGAAAGAAAGGTAAAGGAGAAAAATCCCAAGAGAAACTCTGTAGCATAAGGTTTCTGTTCAGTGTGTGGGGAGTCCGAATGTGTTGTTAAGGACACTGTGCTAGAATAAAAATTGTCTGGGTTCCAATTTAGGTCTTTCATTTATCAGCTGTGTGACCTCAGATGAGTCATTTAATGTCTCTGGCGTCCTCATCTGTAAAATGGGTGTAATAATATCTGACCTACCTACTGCGTGACAATCTTGGATCCAAACAGCACTATAGAACCATTTTTATAGAGCACTTTGCCTTATTTGTACACAGTACATTTGTACTTTTCATTTAATCTTTTATCTTATGCAATCACCAAATAACCCAGTGAGGTAGCAAAGCGTAGTTATTATCTCCATGGTACAGATGACTAAACTGTGGCTCAGAGGCTTTGGAATCACAAAAGAAAGACTTCTAGTTCCCTGGCCAACAGAATATTATTTTGTGCTATAGTTCTTATAGGTTATGTTACATCGTGCTATAATTCTTAATATTGTAATTAGAATTGGGCCACACATTTGTTTATGTGTTGTCTACACCTGCTTTTGTGTGACAACACAAAAGGTAGAGCTGAGTCGTAGCAACAGAGACCACATAGCGTGCAATGCCCAAAGTATGTACCAACTGGCTCTTTAAGAAAATGTTTGCTAGCCTCTGATTTAAGTGCTTTTTACTATGTGTATTAACTCACTCAATCCTCCTAATAATCCTACGAGGCTGGTTATATTAGGCATTAAGGGAAACTGAGGCATAGAAAGGTAGAGTAACTAGATCAAAGTAAAACAGTGAGTAAATGGAGGAGCCGAAGTCTGAACCCAGATAGTCTGGATCCAAACCCAATGCCCTTAATGCCTTTCATTACTGGCCTCGGTGATTCCTATTTGGCTACATCTCATTTGGTCGACATTCACTGAGTAACTCTTAGTGGCCAGACACCATTCTAGGGATTGGGGCTAGTATAGAATACGCTCTTATGAAGCTAACATTCCAGTGGAGGAACTAAAACTATTATCAAGTGACCAAATAAATGAGCAAGATTGTTTCAGAGAATGAAGTCTGTGGGGGAAAATAATAGGTTAGAGTGATCAGAGACAGAGAACTGGGTGGATAAAGGGGGCAGGAGAGACGTTGCTAGAAACCACTGTGTACGTTGAACATATTCTGACTCTGATCCTCCCAATGGAAGACCCTTATTCTTATTGCTTCTTCTTCTTTGTCTCCCCAGCCCCTGGCACAGAGTGAGCACTTAAAAACCACCTGTGTACATATGACTGACCTTTCCGTCACCTGCCTTCCCATTGGCCTCTTCCTGCCCCTTCATCCACCTTTGTGTTTGAATATTCATTCACATGGCTTGTTCTTCCACACCAAATTATGAGCCTCTAACAGTCATGATCTCTGACTCTAAGTCCCATAGACTTAGTCCAGAGTGCTGCACAGAGAGGGACCTCAAGAATAATTTCTAAATAACATTTTAGAATCAGCTCTTGGCCCGAGTCTTTCAAAAATAGCCATGTACAGGTTGAAATTTTAGTTAAAACTGCATGTGGGCCATAGTTTTATCTCCCTTATCTGAGGTAATAGGGAAGGAACCACAGTTATTTGCAATAACAGATCCTACACCAGTTCTCTGTGCTTCTCTGTGAGTGGCCAATGGTACTTCCACACTGCTGCTCTGTTTATCCAGCCCTGACCCCTGGTGAATCCGGCCTGCCTGTGGGTTTTGGCCTCCAATCAGTATATAAAAGGTCGGGAGGAAGGAATAACCCAAGTCCCCATAGGTAATACATGAATAGGGTGATGCAGTAGTGGCTGATGAGGGGAGTTACAGACTGATAATGTAAACTTACATGAAGCACAGCTTTCCAGGATTAGGTAGAAATTCCATCTGTGTGCCAAACTAGCCCTTTACAAGCATAAGCAAACCCAGAGTCTTCGTGAGATGTAAGATGGAAAAATGATCAAATGCCTGACAAGAGCCTAACATGGGCATTTCTAGCTCTGGCTTCTGCCTTGACCTTGTATGACCTTTGCAATTGTCCTAGGCAGGCAGACTTCATGACACCTGTCCCCTGCAGCAACTGTCAAGTCAGCCCCACCTGATTTCACTAAGCTGGAAGCCGGATCTGTCCAACACTGCCAGCTGTTACCCACATTTGCTTTTATGGCTTTCCTTTGCTCCCATCTCTTGTGTGTTCTCCTCTTGCTTATCCTCTTTTCCCCTCTCTTTACTTCTATGAATAGTAATTTTCATGCTTTTTCATTCTAACTTTATTACATCTGCAAAGTCCTTATTTCCAAATAAGATCAGGGTTTAGGTCTAGACATATATTTTGGGGGAGATACACTGAACCTACTGCAATATGCTTTCGTTTTATTTAGGAATGTAAGGTGACATCTAATCAACATCATGCTGACATATGGGCTGTACTTTAAAAACCCACCTTCAGACAAAGAAGGAAATGAATTTGGTGAGATGGTAGGAGCCTGAAAGGTGAACATGCAGTGGTGAAAACTGGTCTTATGATGCCTTCCTGACAATTGCAGACAAATAGAATTGGCTTATTCCATATTTCCTCTTCTGCACATTTTGGAATATAAGATAGAATCATACCTTGCCAGAATTTGGGATGTTTCCTCTAGCAATTTGCCCATTGCAATCTTTTACTTATTGAGCATCTACAATGTGGTAGACCCTATGTAGGTACTTTCATCCCTAAAAAGTGAGGTAGAGTCTCTTATCCCTAATTTGAGGCTCAGAAAGGTTAAGTAATAACCTGCCTATGAAAACACAGTTGGCAAGTGGCGTGGCTGAGAACTAAACTCAATGTTATCAATCTCTTTAACCCACTTTCTTTGGTTCAGACATTAACACTTGTATTCATTACTGTCATGAAGCACCAAGTGTTAGACCTTAGTGATAAAGCAGGGAAACCTGGTGGTCATGGCTCCAAGTTTACACTGCAGAAGTGGAACTCTGGAAGAGGTACAGGAATCAATTACATGAAAAGTCAGGAGAGGAGCATCCCATGACTTCACCTCACAGAGCTGAACTGTCTGAAATGCTGCCATTTTTAGCATGGGTGATATCTATTTTGTCATTTATGAACACCTTAAGGATCAATGGAGATAGGTTATCCATGGAGGGCAAGGACTTTGTCATTTAAGATGACTTAGGATCCACACTTATCCACATCCCAAGGACTCAGGAGCTACTACTCTGTTGCTAGCTTTTTTTAACTTAACTTCCTAAGACTGCAAAGCAGAGATGGGAAACACCTGGGTTAGTTCAAGGGCTGTCCAAGGGACAGGTTGAGTGTACTTAAAGTTCAAAACTGATTATGATTGTGCTTTGAAAATAGCAACTTCGTTCTTCCATAAGGGTTAACATTTATATCCCACAAATATAAGTTGCTAATTGCATTCATTTTAGTATCAAGATACTTCCAAAGGAGAGAAAGAAGTAGCTAAAAATAGCTTGGGCTGGCAAATATGTGGCACATTGTTGAGAATGTTGTGATCTTTCCATGTGTGGTGATCTCAGTAAACCTGGACCTACTTCTGGGTTGGTGTTTCCAATCTGAAAACCTTTTTATTTTTTTTAAATAGAGACAGGGTCTCGCTCTGTTGCCCATGCTGGAGGGCACTGAAATGATCATGGCACGCTGCAGCCTCAGCCTCTTGGGCTCAAGCTATCCTCCTTCCTTAGCCTCCAGAGTAGCTGGGACTACAGAAGTGCACCACCACACCCAGCTAACTTTTTAATTTTTGTAGACTGGATCATGCTATGTTGCCCAGGCTGGTCTTGAACTCGTAGACTCAAGTAATCCTTCCGCCTCAGTCTCTCAAAGTGCTGAGATTACAGGTGTGAGCCACTGCACCCGGCCTCATCTCAAAAACTTTTGATAGCCTTCCAGGGAGTGGAGAACACAGTCCAAACATCCTTAGCCTGGCCTTCAACATCCTATACAGTCTGGACCCTACATTCTTATCCAGCTCAGTCTTCTACTACATCCCCTGGCTCCCACCAAGCCTGTACATAAGTCATCACTGTCAGTCCAGACCCTCCTGGTTGTGGCCAGTGTGGTCCAGCTCCTAACCCTTGCTCAGCCTCTGCCTTCTGCCTGTGTGGGAGATCGTAAAAATGGCTGCAATTATTATCCTCACTGTATCCACAATCCTTTGGAATGTGACTTCATCAAGAAGTGGAGCTTTTTCCTACCCCTTAAACCTGGAGTGGTCTTGTGACTTGCTTTGGCCAGCAGAATGGAGCAGAAGTGATGCAGTGCCAGTTCTGAGCATAAGTGTTCAGAAGTCTTGCTTACTTTCGTTCACTCACTTGGAGCTCTGGTGTCACCACAGGGACAAGCCAGGCTAACCTAGTGGGATGATAAGGCCCATGTGGCACAGGCTGGGCGCAGTGGCTCACACCTGTAATCCCAGCACTTTGGGAGGCCAAGGTGGGCGGATCACGAGGTCAGGAGATGGAGACCATCCTGGCTAACACAGTGAAACCCCGTCTCTACTAAAAATACAAAAAAATTAGCCGGGCGGGGTGGCGGGTGCCTGTAGTCCCAGCTACTCAGGAGGCTGAGGCAAGAGAATGGAGGCGGAGCTTGCAGTGAGCCGAGATCACGCCACTGCACTCCAGCCTCGGCGACAGAGAGAGACTCCGCCTCAAAAAAAAAAAAAAAAAAAAAAAAAAAGACTCATGTGGCACAGTCACCCTCTCCCTCAACAGGTTAGCCATCCAGCCAGTGATGGACCTGCCAGGGGACTGCAGTTGCTTGAGTGAGTGATAACTGCTGAAGTGAGATCAGCCAAGCCTAGCCCAGAGTAGCAGAGCTATCTCTCTTATCTGTAGACAGGCAAGCAAAAATCAATGGCTGTTATTTGAAGTCACTTAGTTTTGGCGTGGGTTAATATGAAACAAGAGATAACTGGTACACTCTTGAATTTCCTTCCCATTCATCCATTAAACATGACCTAAGAGTCTGCTACATGACTTGATCTCTGGTCGACATTGGGGGTTTAGCACCAATACAGACTATCTCCAAGGAGTTCCCATTTCCTTTTGTTGGGCCTTTGAAGTCCCCTTCTTTCAAGGCAGCCAAAGATGGTCAAATCCCACTTCCCAGATGTCTTCTCAGATCTTCCCAGTCAAAATTGATCTCTCCCTTTCTCAATCCCAATTGACTGTCTTTATATCACTTCTCTGGATTCTTTCTCACCTAGAAGGTTGCAAGAGCTGCTGATTGGCCTCTGCATGTCTAATCTGCTCTTGAATTTGTCCTTCTCAGCCTTACCACAGTGAGCTTTCAAAATGCAAATTATATTATGACCCTTGGAGTGAATCTCCTCACTGACTGTCAGACCCTTGAAAAAGTCCCACATCCACCTTCGTGCTCTGTCGCCTGAACACTTCTCCTGTCTCATCTTCCATCTTATATTTACTGTCTGTTAATAGTTCACTCTTTCCTGTTCTCTCTTCTAGGAATGTTCTCGGCACCCAAGGCTGACTGATATGCTTTTATTTACCTTCTTAAATTCAGTTGTCACCTCTTCCAGGAAGTCTTTATTGAACTCTGCTGCTTCCCTGCCCCACCTTCTCATTTCTGTGACTGTAATACTGCTACTGTGCGTTATTTTAATTTCTTATGTTTACATGTCTGGAGACAACCATTTTTAAACTCAAGGCCCAGGTATTAATTTTATCTGTACATCTAGCTATCCCTTAGGCAAAATCTTTTCACTTAGATGATACTCAAAAGTGTCTTTTATTTATTTTTTTTTATTTAATTAATTAATTTATTTATTTTGAGACGGAGTTTCACTCTTGTTGCCCAGGCTGGAGTGCAATGATGTGATCTCGGCTCACTGCAACCTCCTCTTCCCAGGTTCAAGCGATTCTCCTCCCTCAGCCTCCCGAGTAGCTGGGATTACAGGCATGCGTCACCATGCCCGGCTAATTTTGTATTTTTAGCAGAGATAGGGTTTCTCCATGTTGGTCAGCCTGGTCTCAAACTCTCGACCTCAGGTGATCCACCCACCTCGGCCTCCCAAAGTGCTGGGATTACAGGCATGAGCCACCGCGCCCAGTCAAAAGTGTTTTTTAAATGAATGAACAAATCAATAAATTAAGGAATAAAGACTGCCTTTACAATTACCTGCCTGGTGCCCTGAAAGAATAATTATTCACATCTACACAGTCATGTATACTATCTTTGTACAAATAAATTTCCTGAGAGAAAATTTCACTTAGGAGACAGAGAATAGAATCAAAGTGTCTTGGAGAAGATGTGAAGAAATGCCAATTGTAACAGAAGATTGATAGTCTGAAAGCCGAACATAATCTGCTATCCAATTTTATATGACCCGTATGACTCTTAGATCACTAGGTCCAGTCTAGATATTTTTTAAAGAAAGGAATTCCAATCTTTTTGTTTAATATTTCTAAAAATAGTAAAGAAAACCTGTTTTATCCAAGTAATATTTTATATTTTATTTATTTATATTGTGATCCCTAAATGTTCCACACCACGCATATTCTGGAATCTATCCCAACACCGCCCTCGCCCAAAGAAAACTATCCTCAGCCAGGAGAATTTTTATTCTTCTTTCTCGATATTCTTCACTCCCTCCTTCCCAGTTGTCATATAGATCAACTTAACCTTTTAAAATTATCCCTTACTGACCTTTCTCCCACTAGTTTTTCACACTATCAAATCATAAAAGCCCAGGAATCATGTGGCAGAAAAATCTAGCTTTCTAGGAAAGGAAGGGCTAGAGGAGAAACAATTTCACTAGAAAGAGCTAGCATTTCCTTAACAAGAGCAAGGTGGGTGAATTTAGGGACATTTATACTTATATTAACTTTAATACACCCACTAGACTTAATTATTCTATGCCTACTTTGTATTATCTGATCTTTCTAGTCCATGAGTTTTCACTAGTCTATAACAAAATGAGAAAAATAAATGATTGTTTTTTTTTAATTATTAAAACAAAATTTTAGAACAGTATTTTAGTCTAGTGTCTACTTTTGGGGGGTTTTCTTTTCTTTAACAAAATCATAGTGATACGACATAGTTTTGTAATGTTTTATTTGGCAAAATAGAAATTTGGCAAACATGTAAGTTCGTAGTTTAAAAAAACTTTTTATTAGTCTATGAAACCCTAAAATATGGTAACAATCAATTCACTGTTTGTTGAGGTTTTTAGCGGGGGAGAAAAAGGCCTTCAGTTGAGGAATAAGAGACAGAAGAGAATAGGTGTCCTAAATTATAGGGGGTGTCCTAAATTATAGTAAAATATTTCCAGTTTCCAGAACCTGTTTTTACTCTTTGCTGTGTTCCCAGCCTGGAGTTCTCAACCCCTGTGGACTTTTAAAGGTACTCTAGTGAGAGTTCTCAAGCTGTTGTCAGTATTTCAACAATCTTAAAAAAACTGTCACTTGCCAGAAATTAGCCTGTATAGATTATACAGCAAATTTCTCTGCTTTTGGCTAAAAAGATAAGAATTCAATATAGTAACAAGAATTATCACATACTGTTTAGAAGGACTGATTAATATCTAGAGGTTTATTAAGAAAAAAATAAAAATTATTGATTAAAGTGTTTGATTTGAAACAGTTTGGCTGTTTCTCAAGATGTTAAGATACAGAATTACCACGTGAACCAGAAATTCCACTGCTAGGTTTATACCCAAGATAACTGATAGCATACATCCACACAAAAATGTGTGTATAAATATTCATAGCAGCATTGTTCATAGTAGTCCAAAAGTAGAAATAGTTGAAGGTGAGTGGATAAACAAAATGTGGTATATTCATATAATGGAATAATATCCTGTCAAGAAAAAAAGATGAAGTACAGATATAGGCCACAAGAGGGATGAACCTTGAAAACATTATGATAAGTGAAAGAATCCAGACAGAAAAGACCATATATTATATGATTCAATTTATATGCAGTATCCAGAATGGGCAGATCCATAGGCAGAAAGCTGATGAATGGTTGCCAGGGACTGCGGGGAGAGGGGAATGGGGAGTGACTGCTAATGGGTTTCATTTTGGTGTGATAAAAACGTTATGGAATTAGATAGCAATGATGATTATTACTTTGTGAATATAATTAAAAAATCACTGAATTAAACACTGAAATATAAAATATAAAAAACTTTTAAAAGTTACAGTTGTTTTGTGGGTCATGGGTAGTAGTATTTAAAACATGGGTGCACAGGTGCACTAAAATCTCAGAATTCACTACTATATAATTCATCCATGTAAACAAAAACCTCTTGTACCCCAAAACTATTGAAATAAAATAAAAATAAAACACGCATCTATGGAAAAGGAGTAAAGTGAATCCTTGGAAAGAGGTTTGAGAAATATTGCCATACACAGCTTACAACTGTGTGAAAAGTCAGCTGTTCTGTATCCTGACTTTACTCACATCCATGCAAACAAGGTGGCATTCACATTACTTCTCACAGTTCAAAAGTTTCCTGCCCTTTCCTATGTAACATCCTTAGTACCCAAACAGGCTTCTCTGTGCCAGCCACAAGGAGTTACAGAAAGAAAGGAGAAAGGGGTCAAATCCTCCTTTGTCCTCATGTGCCACCTGGTCCTGAAAGCCAACTGCTTGTTCCCCAGAGAATCACAGAAAATCTTTGTGAGTTTGAGTTATTGACCTCCCACGTGTAGCTGCTGTACCCTCTTCCCATAGTTCAGATCTGGTTGATTGGTCCAACTTGGGATTCAACTTGGGCTGTTCCCCTCTGTCCCCACCCATCTCTGCCTCCACCCATCTCTGCCTGCAGGACTTTGTTACTGGAGTCTGATCCCCGTTTGTCAATCAGTTGTAGCTGAACTCTAGTTTGAGCTTGAGTTTAATTAAGTTTAATTCAAATTAAGTTTAATTCAACTTAAGTTTAATTTAACTTGAGTTCAAGCTCAAACTAGAGCTCAGCTACAACTTCTCTTGCACTTCTACAGTATTTCATTCTCAAGTGATCTATCCACATGAAACATTTAGAAGCCAAGGTGAAAAATAAAATTAAGGAGTGGATTTCTAAAGACTTGGCTGTTTGGGACTTTCACATCATATAGTTCCTGACAAAATGGTGGTTTGCCACCATGTGAAGGAAAGGAATGCTTGCTACAGTCAAGGATTGTTTGAATTTCCCAGAGGAACATAAAGTGTCAGACAGTACAGGGATGGAAGGAGCTTCACAGAATGTGTAGTACGATGTCTCAGCAATTGCAGGACTCACTTCTAGTGCACTCATTTTTTTCATGGTGGTTTTTTTCTTTTTCTTTTTTTGTTGTTGCTGTTGTTGTTGAGATGTGGGTGCGGGGTCTCACTTTGTTGCCCAGGATGCTCTTGAACTCCTGAGCTCAAGAGATCTTCCTGCCTTGGCCCCTCAAAGTGCTGGGATTACAGGCATGGAGGCACCATGCCAGGCACTTCTAGCATACTCTTGGCTGATGCCCATCAAGTCTCAACAGGTACACATCTCAGGAAGAGGCACTGTCCTCTTTCACATTGTTATATAACCTTTCATGGGTCCATGATTTCTTCTCAGTTAAACTGTCACTAACAAGATCATGCTTACATAGCTTGTTTTATTTTATTTTTAATGTCAATACTGTAGGAAAGGCATTTTTTATCTCCATTTTACCTTGGAAGAAACAGAGTCTCAAAGAGTTTAAATGAATTGCCTGGAGTTGCAGACTCAGGATTCAAACTGAGCTTCTACCTCTAAACCCAATGTTATTTTTACTCTACACTCCAGCCTGCTAGAGATTTTAAAAGATGCAAATCATATATCATGCCTTTTTTTGTACAATGCTTTAATAAATACTGTTTTAGTAAATTAATTCATTTCCTGCTGATAATTTTGCTTAGTATATAGAGACTAGCATATAGTAGAATTATAGAGAAATGGATTTGAACACCCTCTTGACTACTTGCAAGATCTTTGATCTTGAACAAGTAGCCTAATCTTGCAAAGCTTTAATTCTCTCCTTTGTAACATGATTTGATGTAAAATTTATATTTTTTTGCTATAAGTAAATATATATATTTGCTAGTTTCTAAAGTTGGTCCCTCAATGAGCCACACCTCTTAGTATCTACATCTTTCTATAAGTCCCTCCTCTGGGGTTGATCTGTGACTCACGTTTAACCACTAGAATTGATGGCAGTGACTTAGCGTGACTTCTGAGGCTAGATCATAAGAAACCTTACAGCTTCCACCTAGTTCCCTTGGAACATTCAGTCTAGGGGAAGAAAGCTGCCACATAAGAAGTCTGTTGAATAGGAGTGGAGAGACAGGGCATCCTTATCTTGTGCTGGTTTTCAAAAGGAATGCTTCCAGCTTTTGCCCATTCAATAAGATATTGTCTATGGGTTTGTCATAAATAGCCCTTATTATTTTGTGATATATTCCATCAATGCCTAGTTTATTGAGAGTTTTTAACCTGAAGGGATGTTGAATTTTATCAAAGGTCTTTTCTGTATCTATTGAGATAATCATGTGGCTTTTGTCATTGCTTCTGTTTATGTGGTGGATTATGTTTATTGATTTGCTTATGTTGAACCAGCCTTGCATCCCAGGGATTAAGCCAACTTGATCGTGGTGGATAAGCTTTTTGATGTGCTGCCGGATTCAGCTTGCCAGTATTTTACTGAGGATTTTCGCATCGATGTTCATCAGGGATATTAGCCTGAGGTTTTCTTTTTCTGTTGTGTCTCTGCAAGGTTTTGGTATCAGGATGATGCTGGCTTCATAAAATGAGTTAGGGAGGAATCTGTCTTTTTCAATTGTTTGGAATAGTTTCAGAAAGAATGGTACCAGGTCCTTTTTGTACCTCTGATAGAATTCGGCTGTGAATCTGTTTGGTCCTGGGCTTTTTTCGGTTGGTAGGCTATTAATTACTGCCTCAATTTCAGAACTTGTTATTGGTCCATGCAGGGATTCAACTTCTTCCTGGCTTAGTCTTGGGAGGGTGTATGTGTCCAGGAATTTATCCATTTCTTCTAGATTTTCTAGTTTATTTGCATAGAGGTGTTTATAGTATTCTCTGATGGTAGTTTGTATTTCTGTGGGATCAGCGGTGATATCCCCTTTATCATTTTTTATTGTGTCTATTTGATCCTTCTTTCTTTTCTTCTTTATTAGTCTAGCTAGCAGTCTACCTATTTTGTTAATTTTTTTGAAAATGTCAGCTCCTGGATTCAGGCAAGCGAAAGAAATAAAGGATACTCATATAGGAAGAGAGGAAGTCAAATTGTCTCTCTTTGCAGATGACATGATTCTATATTCAGAAAACCCCATTGTCTCAGCCCCAAAACCCCTTAAGCTGATAAGCAACTTCAGCAAAGTCTGAGGATACAAAATCAATGTGCAAAAATCACAAGTATTCCTATACACCAACAATAGACAAGCAGAAAACCAAATCATGAATGAACTCCCATTCACAATTGTTACAAAGAGAATAAAATATCTAGGAATACAACTTACAAGGGATGTGAAGGGCCTCTTTAAGGAGAACTACAAACCACTGCTCAAGGAAATAAGAGGGGACACAAACAAATGGGAAAAAATTCCATGCTCATGGATAGGAAGAATCAATATTGTGAAAATGGCCATACTGCCCAAAGTAGTGTAGAGATTCGATGCTATTCCCATCAAGCTACCATTGACTTTTTGCAGAATTAGAAAAAACTACTTTAAATTTCATATGGAACCAAAAAAGAGCCCATATAGCCAAGACAATCCTAAGCAAAAAGAACAAAGTCACACTACCTGACTTCAAACAATACTACTAGGCTACAGTAACCAAAACAGCATGGTACTGGTACAAAAACAGGTATGTAGACCAATGGAATAGAACAGAGACCTCGGAAATAACACCACACATCTACAACCATCAGATCTTCGACAAACCTGACAAAAACAGGCAATGGGGAAAGGATTTCCTATTTAATAAATAGTGCTAGGAAAATTGTCTAGTCATATGCAGAAAACTGAAACTGTACCCCTTCCTTACACCTTATATAAAAATTAAGCCCAAACCCATATAAACCCTTGAAGAAAATATAAGCAATACCACTCAGGACATAGGCATGAGCAAAGACTTCATGACTAAAACACCAAAAGCAATTGCAACAAAAGCCAAAATTGACAAATGGGATCTAATTAAACTAAAGAGCTTCTGCACAGCAAAAGAAATTATCATCAGAGTGAACAGGCAACCTACAGAATGAGAGAAAATTTTTTGCAATCCACCCATCTGACAAAGGTCTAATATCCAGAATCTACAAGGAACTTAAATTTACAAGAAAAAACAAACAACCCCATCAAAAAGTGGGCAAAGGATATGAACAGACACTTCACAAAAGAAGACATTTATGTGGCCAACAAAGAAATGAAAAAAAGCTCATCATCACTGATCATTAGAGAAATGCAAATCAAAACCAAAATGAGATACTATCTCATGCCAGTCAGAATGGTGATTATTAAAAAGTCAGGAAACAATAGATGCTGGTGAGGCTGTGGAGAAATAGGAACACTTTTACACTGTTGGTGGGAATGTAAATTAGTTCAACCATTGTGGAAGACAGTGTGGCTATTCCTCGAGGATCTAGAACCAGAAATACCATTTGACCCAGCAATCCCATTACTAAGTATATACCCAAAGGATTATAAATCATTATAAAGACACATGCACATGTATGTTTATTGCAGTACTTTTCACAATAGCAAGGACTTGGAACCATCCCAAATGCCCATCAATGATAGACTGGATAAAGAAAATGTGGCGTATATACACCATGGACTACTATGCAGCCATAAAAAATGAGATCATGTCCTTTGCAGGGACATGGATGAAGCTGGAAGCCATCATTCTCAGCAAACTAACACAGGAATAGAAAACCAAACACCACGTGTTCTCATTCATAAGTGGGAGTTGAACAATGAGAACAACATGGACACAGGGAGGGAACAACACACACCAGGGCCTGTCAGGCTGTGGGGGTAAGGGGAGGGAGAGCATTAGGACAAATACCTAATGCATGCAGGGATTAAAACCTAGATAACGGGTTGATAGGTAGAGCAAACCACCATGGTACACATATACCTATGTAACAAAACTGCATATTCTGCACATGTATCCCAGAACTTAAATTTAAAAAGAAAGAAAGAAAGAAAACAAGGAAATCTGACTGTCCTGAGACTGCCATGGTTTGGGGAAGCCCAAGCTTGCCTATGGAGATGACCTGGAGAAAGAAGAGATACCAAGGCAGCCCCTAGATATTACAACTACCCCAGCTTAGGATGTTTACTCATGCCAGAGAGAAGTAAAGAAGCCATCAAGAATATCAGGCACAGTTAAGTCATCAGATGTCTGTAGCCCCAGTTACTTGTTACACCTGCTGCCTGAAATGCCAAGAGAGAACCACTCAGCTGAGCCCAGTTAGCCCACAGAATCATGACAGAAAATAAGGAATTATTGTTTTAAGTCACTGAGTTTTAGGGTGGTTTGTTGAACAGCAATAGATAGGCAGAATACACGAGGATGATAATCATACCTACCATGTAGAGATGGTGTGAAGATTACATGAGATAATGTACTTAAGTGCCCAGCACATAGTGGGTAGACAATAAATTGCAGATTATCATTGTTGTTATATTTTATTCTAAGCCTCCTTGAAGTCCTTCTGTAAGATAGCTAACTCATGGATCTGTCCCACACATGCATATTTTAAAACTCTGAGAACAAAGAGAGTATTTGCCCTGTGGAAGGTAAACCTAAATTAGCTAAAAGCCCTAGGGATTTACTTCTGGATTTCCTGCCCTTTGCTATTAGTCTTTTCCTCTAACTCTTTGTATCTGGTTTTGTTGGGCTGGTTTCTGCCCACTACAGTTTCAGCCTGGGACTAGGATCTTATCTGCTTTATTGAGGGTGTTCCTTTGATCCACTAACATAAACCACTTACAATTAATTACCATGTACAGCTGTGTTAGTTGTCTGTTGGCAAAAATTTTTTCTCTTATTCTTGCTCTCTTTCTAAAGTAGAAAAGAATTTTTTAATCCATTGATATTACCAAAGACATTTATTTTTTATTTTTTTGTTTTGTTTTATTTATTATTATTATTATTTTTTGAGACAGAGTCTTGCTCTGTTGCCCAGGCTGGAGTGCAGTGGTGTGATCTCGGCTCACCACAACCTCCACCTCCTGGGTTCAAGCAATTCTCCTGCCTCAGCCTCCTGAGTAGCTGGGACTACAGGCACATGCCACCTTGCCTGGCTATTTTTTGTATTTTTAGTAGAGATGGGGCTTCACTATGTTGGCCAGGCTGGTCTTGAACTCCTGGCCTCGTGATCCACCAGCTTCGGCCTCCCACAGTGCTGGGATTACAGGCATGAGTCACCGTGCCCGGCCCCAAAGACATTTATTAATCAAAGGACCAGAAGCTCTTAGTCTGGAATATTTCAATCCTAATACAATCTAAGCACACATGTTCCTGTGCTTTTAGGTGCATACAAAGATATATTCATGATTTTTCCAGGTATGGTGATCAATAAAACTGAGAGGACCTCAAGACTCACAAATTGATGATGAAGTTGGGCCTAGATGAACTAATGAATTTTTTTTTTTTTTTTTCAGATGGATTTTCGCTCTGTCACCCAGGCTGGAGTGCAGTGGTGCAATTTTGGCTTACTGCAAGCTCCGCCTCCCAGATTCACGCCATTCTCCTGCCTCAGCTTCCCGTGTAGCTGGGACTACAGGTGCCCGCCACCATGCCCAGCTAATTTTTTGTATTTTTTTGTTAGAGACAGGGTTTCACCATGTTAGCCAGGATGGTCTCGATCTCCTGCCCTCATGATCCACCCGTCTTGGCCTCCCAAAGTGCTGGGATTACAGGCGTGAGCCACGGCGCCCAGCCCAAACTAATGAAGCATTTTTAAAATTTTAATTCCCTTCAGATCCTGAACAAGCATTTTATTTATTTATGTATTTATTTATTTATTTTAGAGATAGGATCTTGCTCTGTTGCCCAGGCTGGAGTGCAGTGGTGTGATCATGGCTCACTGCAGCCTCAATCTCCTTGGGCTCAAACAATCTTCCCACCTCAGCCTCCCAAGTTGTTTGGACTACAGGCATGCCCCACCATGCTTGGCTAATTTTTCTATTTTTTGTAGAGATGGGGTTTTGCCATGTTGCCCAAACTGGTCTTGAACTCCTGAACTCAAGCAATCCTTCCGCCTCTGCCTCTCAAAGTGTTGGGATTACAGGCATGAGCCACTGCACCCAGTCTGCTTGTATTTTTTGTTAAATCAGGAAGAATTTTGTAAAGGACATCAATTGAATAATCATGTGGCTTGGCTTTGATAATTATATCTGATACTTTTATGGTGGTTTCTCATTTCAAAGAGTCTTCCAATTTGAGTCTCAAACCTGCCCTGGAAGAAATTCAAGACTGGAATTTTCATTCACATTTCACAAATGAGGAAACTGAAGTTTAAAGTTTAAAGGCCTGATTTTTTCCAGGCCTCCCACCTCATAGTCTAGGACGGTTTCATGACAATAAAGTGGCTTTTCTTAAGCCAGCAAGCAAGTTCCAACCCAGTGAAAGAAAGAAATAGAAATGTCATGGACATAGAGGTGAGATAAAACCTTTCATGAAGTCATTGTGATAGTTAATATTGAGTGTCAACTTGATTGGATTGAAGGATGCAAAGTATTGTTCCTGGGTGTGTCTGTGAGGGTGTTGACAAAGGAAATTAATATTTGAGTCAGTGGACTAGGGGAGGCAGACCCACCCTCAATTTGGGTGGGCACCATCTAATCAGCTGCCAGTGTGGCTAGAATAAAGCAGGCAGGAGAAGATGGAAGAGCAGACTCACTGAGTCTTACAGCCTTCATCTTTCTCCCATGTTGGATGCTTCCTGCCCTCGAGCATCAGACTCCAAGTTCTTCAGCTTTTGGACTCTTGGACTTAAATCAATGGTTTGCCAAAGGATCTCCAGTCTTTGGCCACAGACTGAAGCCTGAACTGTCAGCTTCCCTCCTTTTGAGGTTTTGGGACTTGGACTGATCCACCCACTGGCTTCCTTGCTCCTTAACTTGCAGACGGCCTATGTGGGACTTTACCGTGTGATCGTGTGAGTCAGTTCTCCTTAATAAACTCCCTTTCATGTATACATATATCCTATTAGTTCTGTCCCTCTAGAGAACCCTGGCTGATACAGGCATTAAGGAGAGATTTTTTATAATTTTTAAAGAACTGCCCAAGTGAAATGGATATTCTTTTTTATACTATGGGTCTACACAATTCCTTACCTATAATTCTTGCAGATGTATGTATTTTGAAATTTAGAATATTCCAGATAAATATTTGAACACACACACATACATTCCATCAGGGAACACCTTATAATTAAACATAGTAATTTTTGCAGCATAACATGTAAATATTCATACTAAATGAGATAAAGATTGTACAGATTATGAATAGTTTCAGAGTTTATTGCCAAATGAGCTTGCTACAGATCTATAAGCAAAACAAAAGAAAAATTTTTTGTTGGGACTAGATGAACTAATGAAGCTTTTTTTTAAAAAAGAAGCATTTTTTTCAGAGATTTTTGGACTTTAGAATTGTGGAAAATAGATTGTGGAATTGCATTCAGACTATGAAACTGATCATTCTCTCAGTGTTTTCTGCTGTTGGGAACATCACTTGCTCGCCTAGTGGGGTTTGTTCTCAAACTTTGTGCAGGAAAGATGACTTGAACAGAGTTTACACCTGCTGTCCTGTGCTTCCCTAACTGGCATGCTCACAAAGAAAGGGCCTCAGCTAAGTTTGAAGTATGGTTTCAGGCTTTGGGAAGACAAGCCAGTCAAGCCAGCTAATAAACTCTTTTATCCAAAATCCCTAAGGGGGAGGAGAAAAAAGAAAAAGAAATTAAAATGGAATAGCAGCCTGCTTTCAACTTCATGAGAACTGATCACACAAGGAAGCCAGAGGCATCTCATCAAGAAAGTCCAAATTTGATGAAGCAATTTCACTCTGGAAGCCTTAGACTAGACAGACCTGCAATGAACCCATTATAAGGTCATCAAGATGGGTGAGAGAAGTGGGATCCGTACATTAATATTAATGGCAGTAATAACTGTGATACCGCTCCCCATTTCAGTCTCTGCCGGGAAGAAAAGCTTGGGCCCTTTCCTACGCCAAGAGGAGACAGAGAACATTTTCCAAGGACACTTAAGACTTGCTGTCCCTTTACAATTGGCCTTTTTTCCCAGAACACTTCACATGGAGCAGCGTAAGTTTTGCTGTCTGGTCCTCTTCGGTGGAAGGTCATTTTGTATCCAAGGTGACAGCTCTCTCTGGGGATAGGTATGTGACGTGGAGGTAGATAAGTGGATGGTGTGGGGATGAGCCCAGGGCCCATGGGGCCCTTAAGGTGATGGCCTGCACCCTGTGGTGGTCTGCTGAAAGAGCAGAACACTGCTGCTGCTGCTGCTGCTGCTGCTGCTGCTGACTCAGTGTGTGACTCAGTGTGTGCCGTGATATCTGAGCAACTGCCCAGCAAGCAGCAGAAGGGGAAAGGTCCACGTCTGATAAAGGAGACAGGAAATGCATTTTGAACAAAGCTTTTATTATTTTTTTTAATTCTCTGCTCTCATTCATTTTCCACATACTTTATCCACAATGACCTTTGAAATCTAATCAATTGTTTGGTATCTTCCTTGTTATGAAAAAAAAATATCAGGCCACTAATTTTCTCCATTCTAACGTCTTTTGCAGAATGATTCCCTTCTCTTTTGGTGCAACTGATTCGATGCAATTTTTGAAAAGACCGTATTTTCAGCACTTCCTGTGTGTGCAGAACTCTTTTTTCTCTTGAGACGGAGTCTTGCTCTGTCGCCCAGGCTGGAGTGCAGTGGCGCGATCTCGGCTCACTGCAAGCTCCGCCTCCCGGGTTCAGGCCATTCTCCTGCCTCAGCCTCCCGAGTAGGTGGGAATACAGCCTCCCGCCACCATGCTCAGCTAATTTTTTGTACTTTTAGTAGAGACGGGGTTTCGCCTTATTAGTCAGGATGGTCTCGATCTTCTGGTCTCATGATCCACCCGCCTCGGCCTCCCAAAGTGCTGGGATTACAGGCCTGAGCCACCGCGCCCAGCTGCGGAACTCTGATGCCACAGATACCTGGGTTTGAATTCCAGGCCCATCATTTTCTAACCATGTGAATCTGGGCAAATTACTTAGCCATCATGAGATGTAATTTCCTCAATTGTAAAATGGCAATAATATATGAGATGTTTGCTGTGAGAATGAAGTGAGGTAATAGGAGTGCTTATTACAAAACAGACACAGGAATAGTTTATTATAACTAGATGCTAAGAGGAACTTAAAGGTAAATAAAACACATATGCACACACATACACACTTCTTTAATGCAAGGAAAATATATAAAGGATTTTGGAAGTGACTTGAGAGCATACGGTACAGAGAAATTGAACCATACAGTGGAGAGTGTGCATTAGATCCAGGCCTGGGCAAACACATGGACTATCAATAGGCTGGGTAATGGGAGTGAGGAGAATGAGGACGTAAAGGATGCTTCTAGGCAGAAAACATGGTGACACAGAGGCAGGAAAGAACTGAGGAGGAATTACAGAAAAAGACCCAGACTTTTCCAGTACCATAAGGATTGAAAGTATCCTTTCTCAATAGCCTCACAACTACTCCTTTCATTATAGAAGTAAGTGTTCTGATTTGAGGTTTGAAAAATAATCACTCTAGCATTTGTTTGAGCATTGCAACACATATAATCAGGGCGAGGTTAGGAGGGAGAAGAGAGTGGGAAGTTAGCTACTTGAGATTATTGAGGGCTTTGAATGTCACAAAAGGGAATGAGACTTTTTGCATGTGTTGTATAGTGAGGAGTCCTTTTGGACCTGAGTGGCACCAGTTTCAGAAGGTTACACCATCGATGTACAGATTAATTAGAAGTGGGATAGGGAGGCCGAGGCGGGCGGATCACGAGGTCAGGAGATGGAGACCATCCTGGCTAACACGGTGAAACCCCGTCTCTACTAAAAATACAAAAAATCAGCCGGGTGTGGTGGCACGTGCCTGTAGTCCCAGCTACTCAGGAGGCTGAGGCAGGAGAACTGCTTGAAACCGGGAGGCGGAGCTTGCAGTGAGCCGAGATCGCACCACTGCACTCCAACCTGGGCGACAGAGCGAGACTCTGTCTCAAAAAAAAAAAAGAAAAGAAAAGAAAAGAAAAGAAAAAGACGTGGGATAGACAAGGGCTGGGAAAGAGGGTTAACCAAAGGGTTATTGTAGAAAGGCAGGAGAAATGGAAAAGGTGAGTTAGAAGAGACACGTAGAGAAGGGGCTAGTTGTATGTGTTTATTGAGTAAATGTGGAGAAAAGAAAGGTATTGCAAATAACACTAAGATGTCTAGGCTGGGTGACTAAGAAAAGGAAGTCTCTTTTACTTGGATAGTAGTCAGAAGACCTGGGTTCGGGGATGGAGGATGATTAATTCCATTCTATGTATTCTATTTTTAAACTGATAGAGATACATTCACAGGGTGGCTTGGAGCTCACGATAGTTACTAGCTGGAGCTGTGGCTGTAGAAAGCCTCTTAATTGAAGTGATAGGAAGAAGTGGAAGGTTATTAGACAACTAAGGCAGTGTGGCAAGAAGGTGGTCAATACTCGAAGGGGATGGCTGAGTCCAAACTCTCCCTTTCATAGCCTTTTTACCCACAGAAGTTCTCAACTTCATTTATTCATATCAAAGAGTGACTGATGATATCTTAAAATGTCATGTCTTATGGAGATTTACATTTTACTGGGGATCAAAGCCCTGAAATAAAGAAATTAAGCCCCAGACAAGAAATCCAGAAGTCGTGGGAAAGGTGACCATGTGACCACCACTAACACGCAAAGGCCTCTAATATGCAATGGCCACTGGACCAGCCACCCCCTTGACAATCTAAAGGAGAATGCAGTGAATACGAAGGAGGTTTTCCCAAAGTACAAAATACAAGTATGCACGTACAGTCAATCCTCATTATTCACAGATTCCATATTGTAAGTTCACCTACTCACTATAATTATTTGTGGCATCAAAATTTACACTTATAGCACATTCCTGATCATTCTTGGATGTGCACAGGGTTGTGAAAAATTTGAGTTGCTCAACAAGCACTTTCCCAGCTGAGGTCAAACAAGGCAATACTCTGCATTCTTGTTTCAGCTCATAATGTAAACAGTGTCTTTCTCTTGCTCTATTTAGTGCAATGCTTTTTGCATTTTTGTGCTTTTTGTTGATTTTGCTGTTTAAGATGGCCCCCTAGCATACTGCTGAAGTACTCTCTAGTGTTCCTAAGTGCAAGAAGGCTGTGATGTGTCATATAGAGAAAATTCATGTGTTAGATAAGCTTTATTCAGGTATCGTTACAGTGCTGTTGGCTGTGATTTATATGTTAATAATTCAATAATATATATTAAATAAGGTGTGTTTAAAGAGAAAGAGAAAACAAGGTTATATACTGATAAGTTGACAAAAATGTTGGGATCAGAGGCTTGCAGGAACCTAGCCTTGTATTTCCCCTAGGATCAATGGTTTACAATTCACTAATTCAGTATTTGCAGTGACTTTATTTAACTTAGCTATTGTGAATAACAAGAATCAATTGAATTTCTATTTGTCTTATAGGAGAGAGGCATTGTGGTTTTCCCTCAGCTTTACAGATGTGTAACTGACAAATAAAAATTGTATATTTTTAAAGCATACAACATGATGTTTTGATATATGTATACATTGTGAAATGATTACTGCAATTCAGTTAATTAACATATCTATCAACTTAGTTATCATTTTGTGTGTATGTAATAAGAAAATGCAAGATCTATTGTCTTTGCAAATCTCAAGTATATAAAACAGTATTATTAACCATAGTCACCATATTGTACAATAGATCTCCAGAGCTTGCTGATATCGTCTAATTGAAACTTTGTACCCTGTAACTAATATCTTCTTACCCCAACATCCATCCCTGGAAAACATTGTTCTACTTTCTGCTTCTATTAATTTAACTTTCTTAGATTCCACATATGAGATCATGCAGTATCTGTCTTTCTGTGTCTGGCTTATTTGTCTTAGCATAATTTCCTCCAGGTTGCAAATGACAGGATTTCCTTCTTCTTTAAGGCTGAATAGTATTCCATTGTGTGTATGTGTGTGTGTATATATAATATATTATATATGTATATATATAAAATATATATGTATATGTATGTATGCACCATATTTAAAAAATTCATTCATCTATTAATGGACACCTCTGCTTATGTGCTGGCCCTGCTGGAGGGGTTCGTTCTGTCTGATCTAGGGACTCAGCCACTCACTTCCAATAACAGTGCTTGGTCCTTTCAACATACATCAATTCAAAAAATGAGTCACCATGCTTTACTATTAATAATAAGGTTACTCTCATTACAAAAGGTTTCCCAGTGGAAAAGTATCTAACAAGGGCAGAGCATTTGAAACAAGTGATGCAATCTGACAGAAGTGGGTAAATGCAACTGTCAAGCGTAGCTAGCTCCAGAGCCACAATGGCAAACATTTTTTATGTGATTAGAGAAGGTTTATAGTCAATGTAGATGGTAGTTTTCTTTCTTTATATGCCTGTCTGTTTTCTTGCCTGACTGCCTGCTTGTTCCTTTCATTCTTATAAGAGGTGAGATCAGACCAACTGTTTGATTGTATTGGAGGTTTGTAAGAAAATATAGAAAAAATAGGGCAACTTTAATATGGTTTGAAATGTGCTACAGTAAGGTGGGAACTCTTAAATACATTAGAAGGCCTTCCTAAAAGCTAACCATTTTAGGTACGAGAATCTCCCTACCCCCCTCCTCCCCAATTATAACTAAGAGAATATTCTGCTGAGCTGACAAAGACTAGCAAAATGTTTCTAAATCTATACATCTGGGAACTCTCATAACTCTTTTTCTAGGGAAAAAATTTTGCTTCTCTTCTTTCTGAAGGTCAACCCTGATTGTATAGGAGAAATTGCTTGCAGCTATCCTGCTATGCCCAGAAGCACCCTTCAGAAAGAAATTAAATGCATTCAGAAGATCAGCTATCCTCTCAAATGATGTGAATAGGGACATGAGGAACACTGAAAAAGGGCTTTCGAATAACTTATTACTCCCTGATTACAAGGCACACCCCTGGCTGCTTGATGGAGTGAGGCAACAGAGTTGTGATCTCAAGGAAAAACTAGGCTTCTCTAACTCTGTGTAGTCATTGTTGTCTGTCCATCCTGGACTTGACAGAGGCTGTCTCAGAATGAGTTTTATAGGCCAATTCTTAAAGGTAATTGAATATGGGAAGATGGGGTCTTGTTCTATCATCCAGGCTTGAGTGCAGTGGAACCATCATAGCTCACTGCAACCTTGACCTCCCAGGCTCAAGTGATCCTCCCACGTCTCAGCCTCCTGAGTAGCTGGGACTACAGGTGTGGGCCACCACACTTGGCTAATTTTTGTATTTTTGTAGAGACAGGGGTTTTGCCATGTTGCCCAGGCTGGTCTCAAACTCCTGGGCTCAAGCAATCTGCCTGCTTTAGCCTCCAAAGTGGTGGGATTACAGGCGTAGAGTCACTGTGCCCAGCCAAGATATATTCTCTGTTATACCGCAGATATTTGGGTTGTTTGGTATTTGGCTATTATGGCTAAAGTAGTTATAACTTTATTGTACTGGGCTATTTATACATATATGTTTCATTTTCTTTGGGTAAATACCTAGGAAGAGAATTCCTAGACTGAATAAAATCTTCTTTGGGTATAGGCCGGGCGCGGTGGCTCATGCCTGTGATTCCAGCACTTTGGGAGGCCGAGACAGGTGGATCACCTGAGGTCGGGAATTCAAGACCAGCCTAACCAACATGGAGAAACCTCATCTCTACTAAAAATACAAAATTAGCCGGGCTTGGTGGCGCATGTCTGTAATCCCAGCTACTTGGGGGGCTGAGGCAGGAGAATCACTTGTTCCCGGGAGGTGGAGGTTGCGGTGAGCCGAGATCGTGCCATTGCACTCCTGCCTGGGCAACAAGAGTGAAACTCCATCTCAAAAAAAAAAAAAAAAAAAAAATTCTTTGAGTAGATTTCTCAGGAAATCACTGGACCCTGTATCGCTCAAAAAGACTTGGTTATTCTCTTTTCCTCAAGGTATGGTTTCTTAACTAAATTGTCATAAGCCTCTTTGGGGGAAGGACTGAAGGAATTGTTATTGAATCTCCTGCTGTGGTGTTGCAGGATCCTTTCTTATGGGAAACTGACCTATTCATTGACGCATTCTGGTTCTGAGAACTGGCGCAGGTCAGGAAATGGGACAAGAGATTTTCTCTTTTTACTGGGCAGCTCAACAGTCTTCTACCCATCTGTTCTTCATCTATTTTAGAGGAAAATGAAATAGACAGAGTGTGTTATTCAGGGTTCTCCAAATAAATGGAATCAATAGGATATTTATTTATTATGAGGAATTGGTTTACATGATCATGAAAGCTGAGAAGGCTCATGATCTACCATCTGCAAGCAGGGAAGCTGGTGGGACAATTCAGTTCAAGTCTGAAGGCCTGAGAACCAGAAGAGTCAATAGCGTAAATCCCAATCTGAGGGCAGGAGAAGATGAGAAAACATGCTCCAGCTCAAGCAGTGAGGCAGGAAACGAAAGGGACAGATTCCTCCTTCTGCCTTTTGTTCTCTTCAGGCCTTCAACAGATTAGATGATGCCCACCCATGCTGGGGAGGACCATATGGACTCTACGCTTTATTCAGTTCACCAGTTCAAATGCTAACCTCTTCCAGAAACACTCACAGACCCACCCAGATACCCAAATGTGTATTTGGGTATCTTGTGGCCCGGTCAAATTGTCAAATAAAATTAAACATCACAAGTCCACTCCCTGTCGACCTGGTACCCATAGACATCTCCCTAAATTATACCTAATCTCCAAATAAAGACATTAAGAAGATCATAATTCTGCCTAACATGACACAACTATCCTGATACAACCAAAAATGCACTAACCCCTTTGCCAGAAGAGCAGATAAAATCTTTGAGTGATATTTACTCTTCTTGATCTGCAACTTAAATATTATGATATAAAATTACCAATATTTAAATGCCATGATATAAAGTCCGTACATCTTATGATGATAGGAGAATAAGAGAGGAAAGAAAAAAAAAAGATACATACATATACACAAACACAAATATATTCATAACAAAATAAGGAGGAAATACTTATGATAATTACAGTCCTAGTTTCTGTAACTGGTCATATGGTTGTAGCTGGTATTTATAGCTACCTTCCTCCATTACCCATTCTGTGTTCCCTTTGCTTTCAGCGAGTACCTCAGCTGATTGTGGTTCTTTTTTTAATTTTTTTTGAGACACAGTCTCACTCTGTCACCCAGGCTGGAGTGCAATGGCGCGATCTCAGCTGACTGCAACTTCTGCCTCCCGGGTTCAAGCCATTCTCCCTGCCTCAGCCTCCTGAGTAGCTGGAATTACAGGCACCACCACACCCAGCTAATTTTTGTATTTTTAATAGAGACAGAGTTTTGCCATGTTGGCCAGACTGGTCTCAAACTCCTGACCTCAGGTGATCTGCCCGCCTCGGCCTTCCAAAGTGCTGGATTACAGGCGTGCGCCACTGCATCCAGCCAATTGTGGTTTACCCGGCGGGGTGACCCAAACCTCCATTCTTAAAAGGTCTGGCCCATTAGTAGTCTTTCCTGGATTGAGTTTTTGCAGTTTTTAATTAATGTTAATCACAGGACATGGAAATACTAAAAGATGCCTTAAGTTATCTCCTATATTTCAGACATAATCTCCTTACCTCTATTGCGGAGTAGTACTCCAAAATCCTTCTTGGTAGTCAGGATTAATCACCCCAGCCAACACTGTAACTCCTTAACCTATTGATTCAGAGGCACAAGGAGCCCAACATGTGGGGCTGGCAGCCTTAACTTTCAGTTCAATGAAATCATTGCTGTCTTTTCTGTTGGGAACATTCTTCCCTCTGGAACTAGGTCATCAGAACATAAAGTCACCTCTAGGTCATCAGAACATAAAGTAGTGAGAACAGGAAGCAGAAATTCTGGCCGTGTGTCATAAGGGGTAACAGTGAGTGGTATTATTCCCATTTCCAGCCCTTGATTCCTGGACCTATGAATTCTGGCTAGAGGAGAAACAATACCATATAGTGGATGCTGATTCAGAGCAACATAGTCTTCTGGAGAACCTTGATCCAGCCCTACAAAGTATTGCTACCTGGCTGTCACTGTAACTGAGTCTTAAAAAGACCATTCCACCGTTCCCTCAAACCAGTTGCTTCTAGATTGTGGGGAATATGATAAGACCACTGAATTCCATAAGCATAGACCCATTGCTGTACTTCTTTTGCTGTGAAGTGTGCTCTTTGATTAAAAGCAATTCTGTGTGGAATACCATGATAGTAGATAAGGCATTCTGTAAATCCATGAATGGTTATTTTGGCAGAAGCATTGCATTCAGAGAAGGCAAATTCATATTCAAAGTAAATGTCTAATCCAAGTCCAAAACACTGTTACTTCCATGAGGGAAGCAATCCAATGTAATCAACCTGCCATCAGGTAGCTGGCTAATCTCCCTAGGGAATGGTGCCATATTGGAGAATCAGTGTTGGTCTTGCTGCTGGTAGATTGGACAGTCCGTGGTGGCTGTAGAAGGATGGCTTTGATTAGTGAAAATCCATGTTGCTGAGGCCATATGTAACCTCTATTCCTGCCACCATGCCCACTTTATTTATAGATGCTTTGGGTGATGACAGGGGTAACTAGGGAAAGAGGCTGACTGATGTCCATAAAAATGGGTCATTCCATTCATTTGATTATTAACATCCCCCTCTGCTGAGTTCACTGTTTTAGCCAGGGTTTCCAAAGAGACAGAACTGATTTTATATATAAAATCAGTCCAAAACCCATAATATATATATATATATATATATATATATATATATATATATATATAGAGAGAGAGAGAGAGAGAGAGAGAGAGAGAGAGAGAGAGAGAGACAAAGAGAGAGAGAAGAATGAATTTATTCAGGTAATTGGCTCACTTGATTATGGAGGCTGAGAAGTTCCACAATAAGCTGTCTGCAAGATGGAGAACTAGGGAAGGCAGTAGCATGGTTCAATCCAAGTCAAAGTCCTCAGAACCAAGAAAGCCAATGGTGTAACTCTCAGTCCAAGGCTGAAGGCCTGAGAGCCTAGGAGTCAAGGTGTGAATCCAGGAGTCCAAAAGTCAGAGAATCTGGAGTCCAAAACCCAGAGAATCTGGACATCCAAGGGCAGGAAAAGAAGGGCATACAGGCTCCAGAAGAGAATGCAAGAATTCATTCTTCTGCCAGCTTTTTATTCCATCTGGACCCTTAGCTGACTGGATGGTTTCTACCCACATTAAGAGTAGATCTTTCCCACTCAGTCCACCAACTTGTATGCTAGTCTCCTGTAGAAACACTCTCACAGACATAGCTGGGGTAGCCTGGTCTTTCTAATCAAATGCCAAACCACCTGGGTTTCCCTTTCAGCACAAGAAGCTCAGTGCCCATATAAGCATTGAGAATAATTAATGCAATGATTGAGAATAAATAGTGCATTACCAGCTATCTGAGTTTTTCTGGGTATCCCATAATTCAGTTATGTTGACACTCAAAATTAACCATCATCATCCTTTGTTGAGCATTCACATGGAGCACTTTTTTTTTTTTTTTTTTTTGCTGATTAAGGGAAGTCTATAAACATACGTCTTCCCCAAATTTCTTCATTGCCAATTTTTCAATCATGTTCCTTCCAAGTCCCTGATCATCCAGACAAACAATTGGCCACAGCCCATGAATTGGTACATAATGGCACATTTCTTCTTCTTCCAAGCAAAGTAAACAACCAGATGCAGAGTCTGAAGTTCCACCCACTGTATTTCTCTTCCAGGGATTGATTTTCCTGTCTTTGGAGATGTCCCAGAGAAAGGAGGTAGTGCCACAGCTGTTAATTTTGGGCGGTGCCTGCATATTGTGCAGAACCTTCTGTAAACCAGGCCTGAGTCTTTTCTTTCTCTGTCAACTGATTCTAGGCAACTCCCCAGATGGCCTTAGGTACAGGCTGAGAGACAGAGAAGGCAGTAGTGGAAACCATGGGAATTTGGGTCACTTTTTCACGTGATTCATTTGTACCCTCAGAGCCTCCTTGCGATCACTCACATATGTACCACTTCCCTTTGGTGAATTGCCAACATTTTTAGCACCAAGGACTGGTTGTGCGGAAGACAGTTTTTCCATGGATAGGTGGTGGAGGTGGTTTCAGGATGAAACTGTTCCACCTCAGATCATCAGGCATTAGCTTCTCATCAGGAGTGCATTACCGAGATCCCTTGAGTGTGCAGTTAACAATAGGGTTCATGCTTCTGTGAGAATCTAATGCCATCCCTGATCTGATAGAAGGCGGAGCTCAGGCAATAATGCTTGGTTGCCCGCTGCTCACTTCCCGCTGTGCGGCCCAGTTCCTAACGGGTTCGGATATATGGATATAGTCTGAGCCATGATATCAATTGGTTTCCTAGGATTTATTGTATGGGCCCACCCCATATTTACAGTAGGAATAGACGTAGATACACGAGCCTACTTCACCTCCGCTACTATAATTATCGCCATTCCCACTGGCGTCAAAGTATTTAGTTGGCTCGCTACGCTCCACGGAAGTAACACCAATGATCTGCTGCAGTACTCTGAGCCCTAGGGTTTAGAAGTGTTGTTATGCATGCTTAGCTTTATAGCATGTTGGGTCAGACATGATAAAGGGCAGCTCGGGTTGCATTGTAATTTGGTTGCTCACAGTTAAGCATTTAGTCTCTATTAAGACCCAGTAGCAGGCCAAGAGCTGCTTCTCAAAAGGAGAGTAGTTATCTGCAGAGGATGGCAGGGCCTTGCTGCAATATCTTAAGGGCCTGTGTTGCAATTCACTTAGGGGGACCTTCCAAAGGCTGCAAACAGCATCCCTAACTTCTACTGACCCTTCAAGCACCATTGGAGCTGCTAGATCATATGGCCTAAGTGGCAGGGCAGCTTGCACAGCAGCCTGGACCTGCTGCAGAGCCTTCTTTTGTTTTGAACCCCACTAAAACTAGCAGCTTTTAAGGCCACTAAGTAAATGGGCCAGAGTAACACACTCAAATAAGAAATACATTGCCTCCAAAATCCCGGTGGGTGTTGTGCTTCTTTCTTGGTTGTAGGAAGGGCCAAATGCAACAACTAGTTCTTCACCTTTCATGGGAGATTTCAACATGCCCCATACTACTGGACACCAGGAATTTCACTGAGGTAGAGGACCCCTGAAATTTCGCTGAATTTATTTCCTATCCTCTGACATGCAAATATCTTACCAAAGAGTCAGAAGTAATTGCGACTCGCTCACTAGGTACAGTCAGTATGATGTCATCAGTTTGATATCTTGTGGAAGGGAAAATCAATCAAGATCTGTTAATTAAATTATGACATAGGACTGGAGGGTTGATAACCTTCTTAGGTAGGACAGTGAAGGTGTATTGCTGGTCTTTCCAGCTGAAAGCAAACTGCCTCTGGTGGACAGGTATAGAGAATAATGCACTTACTAGATTAATAGCTGCATACCAGGTACCAGGGGATGTGTTAATTTGCTCAAGCAATGAAACCACATCTGGGACAGCAAGTGCAATTGAAGCCACAACCTGGTTAAGCTTACAATATAATTCACTGTCATTCTCCAAGATCCATCTATCTTCTGCACACACCAAATAGGCAAGTTGAATGGGGATGTGATAGGAATCACCATGCCTGTGTCTTTCAAGTCCTTGATGATGGCGCTAATTTCTGCAATCCCCCCAGAAATGTATTGCTTTTGGTTTACTATTTTCCTAGGTAGAGGCATTTTTAATGGCTTCCACTATAGGCTTTCCCACCGTAATAGACTTTCCCTAGGTCAGGGAATTGATGTTGAGTTTCTGTCAGCTGCTAAATATGTCCACTCCAATTATGTATTCTGGAACTGGGGAAATACTCACAGAATTGGTTTGGGAAATTGGAAGAAACATGATTGGAAAATTGATGACAAAGAGATTTTGATTTATAGATAGACAGAAATCCTCACCAGCTGCCTATCTATCTTGTCCCTAGGAACACTGCATTCTATTTGTCAGCTCCATAGATCCTTGTGGATCAGACCTTCCTGACTGCCCATTATGTCCTGCCTTATGTCCTTGCTCTGATGGTCGTGTTTCCATTTGGCTTCTGCTTTCCCAGACCCTATATCTGTTGTTATTAGGAAGCCCAGTGCTGTAAAGTCCTTAGCTATAAAGCAGCGGTTGCCAACATTTTTAGCACCAAGGACTGGTTGTGCGGAAGACAGTTTTTCCATGGATATAGGTGGTGGGGGATGGTTTCAGGATGAAACTGTTCCACCTCAGATCATCAGGCATTAGCTTCTCATCAGGAGTGCATTACCAAGATCCCTTGAGTGTGCAGTTAACAACAGGGTTCATGCTTCTATGAGAATCTAATGCCATCCCTGATCTGATAGAAGGCGGAGCTCAGGCAATAATGCTTGGTTGCCCGTTGCTCACTTCTCACTGTGCGGCCCAGTTCCTAACGGGTTCGTGGCCCAGGGGTTGGATGTCCCTGCTATACAGGACAGCTACTACTGAGCTTCTCAGTGATGCTGGTGGCTCTCTCACCATCATTTTTCTTGCCTTAGACATTAGAGCATCCTCCAGGCCCTCTGCTTTTTTTTTTTTTTTTTTTTGGCGATGAAGTCTTACTCTTGTTGCCCAGGCTGGAGTGCAATGGTGCAATCTCGGCTCACTGTAACCTCCACCTCCTGGGTTCAAGCAATTCTCCTGCCTCGGCCTCCCAAGTAGCTGGGATTACAGGCACCTGCCACCACACCTGGCTAATTTTTGTATTTTTAGTAGAGACAGGATTTCACCATGTTGGCCAGGCTGGTCTCGAACTCCTCACCTCAGGTGATCTGCCCACCTCAGCCTCCCAAAGTGCTGGGATTACAGGCGTGAGCCACTGCACCAGGCCGGCCCTCTGTATTTGTCTGCTAGTTCTGCCATGCAAAATACTACAGATTGGGTGGCTAAAGCAACAGAAATTTATTTTCTCACAGTTCTGGAGGTTGGAAATCCAATAAACATGCCAAGAGGTTGGGTTTCTAGTGAGGCTTCTCCCCCTGGCTTGCAAATTGCTGCCTCCTTGCTGTGTCCTCATATGGTCTTTCTTCCGTGCATGCGTGCAGAGAGAGACAGATCTCTGGTGTCTCTTCCTCTTATAAGGGCACCAGTTTTATTAGATTAGGGCCCCACATTATGACCTCATTTGACCTTAATTCCCTCCTTAAATTTCCTATCTCCAAATACAGTCACACTGGGGGTCAGGGCTTCAACAAATGAGTCTGGGGGGCAGGCACAATTCAGTTCATAACACTTTTCCAGGACACATTGTTAGCCAGTTGGTTTTCTAGTCTTATATTGTAGATTCTTTCCAGCTGGCTCAGTTTGCTGTGCTTTTTGATTCCTTCTTCCATGCCATACTTCTTTTAAGGTGGGTCATTCCTTTTTTATTCCAGGGGTCTTCTTAGCAGCAGATTAATATAATCTGGCTCCTGTGGCCCCTGCGATATTAAATCCAGTGTTACGGGAAATTTTCCACATACTGGCAAGCTATTATGCAGCTTTATATTACACTCTACTCCCCTGGATATGGCACCCTCAAGATCTTCTCCCGGAAACACTCCTGATTCCTGCTGGTAAATGTAATCCAGGTATTGCAGCTCCTTCAGCATGTAACTCCTCTCCTTCCTTGGCAGACTCAGCATTCCCTAGTCAGGTCACATTTAGCTTAGAACCTAGTTATTAGTGAGCATGCCCGGAGGAGAGGTAAGGGCAGATCCTGAGGAGGAAAAGCATTATCTTATAAGCCATTTGCATAATATTCAAACAAGGAGGAGGGATACTTCTGCAAGCCCAGAATGTTCAGGTGGATCGAGGTTCTCAGGGGCGTCTACCTATATATCTCTATCCTAAGCCTCAGACTACCACACCTTCCCTATCAGACCTCTGACTTTGACATAGGGCTTCCCTACACAGAATTCAGCTTCTCTTAGAGTTCTGCTTCTCCTAAAATTCTACTTCTCTTACAATAATTGTGCATGGCATTCAGCTCACTATGCCCTCTGGGAAAAGGAAATGTCCAGGAGTCCCCTTGGCACTCACACTTTGCCTTGATTTAGCTACTCAATTTCACAGTACTTAAGAGTTAATTCTTCGTATCTTTCAAGTGCCAGAGACAAGGCACAAACTAGTGCATCCCTTTCCCCGATATTCCATCCCTTCTCTCTGCAGGTGAAAGTTTTAGCAATTGTTTTATCACAGCATGCTAGGAGTTACCAATACCTACCACCAATGAGGAAGTCCTCATTGTCATCTATATGATGAGTTAACCAATTCCAGGATCCCATCATTAGAGTCTGGTCCCAGAATCACTTTTGGGCATTGCCTTAGGTCAGGTTGCCTTGAAGAAGCCTAAGAAGAGGCAAGTGATTTACTGAGGGAGTGCTCTTAGGTAAAACCTGTAAGAGAGTGAGGAAAGTAGGTTACAGCAGGGAAAGAATCCTAAAGCAGTTTCAGCTGAAATCCTGCCTTGGCCTGATCCCACAGGGAGCTCTAGGATGTGAGTGGCACCACAGAGTTCGTTTGAGTCAAGAGGGCTGAGCATTTATATCAGTTTGCATACTGCCTCCTGTGGACAAAGGGAATTCTTTTTTTTTTTTTTTTTTTTTTTAAGACAGAGTCTCGCTCTGTCGCCCAGGCTGGAGTGCAGTGGTGCAATCTTGGCTCACTGCAACCTCTGCCTTCCGGGTTCAAGCAATTCTCCTGCCTCAGCCTCCTGAGTAGCTGGGACTACAGGTGCCCGCCACCATGCCCGGTTAATTTTTTGTATTTTTAGTAGAGACGGGGTTTCACCGTGTTAGCCAGGATGGTCTTGATCTCCTGACCTCGTGATCCACCCGCCTTGGCCTCCCAAAGTGCTGGGATTACAGGCGTGAGCCACCGCGTCCAGCCGACAAAGGGAATTCTTACGAAGCCATTAGCCAACATTCTCAGCAGTTGGGGTAAGAGGCAACTGGGCAGGGCACCTCCAGGGCCTACTACAAGGCTTTGTAACATCTGGTATATTTCTCCCCTATGTTCACTGTATTACGTGTTGAGAGCATAGCATATTTACTTTTTCTAGTTATATTGTTAGCATTTCCTAATGTCATTTTTTTCTATATGTCATATTTACTGGCTATACTAATATCTTTAATTTATTTAGCTATTCTCCTGTTGATAGATGGATCATTTTAAAGTTTGCTATTGTAAATAATGCTAGAATAATTGTCATTAGTCTTGATGTATTATTTTCATAAATTGTTAGATTCAGTTTGATCAAATTTTGGTAATTTTGCATTTATATTCATGAGAGAGATTGGCCTGTAGTTTTCTTTTAATGTAATGGCTTTGCCTGGTTTTGGTATCAGGGTAAAGCTGGTTACAGAAAATTAGTTTGGGAGTTAAATTTAGTCAGGTTATTTCTTTCTCCTTTACTAAGCTTTGGCAATTTGTGTCTTTGAAGAAATTTCTCCATGTCTTCTAGGTTATGAAATTTGTTGTCAGAAATTTATTTACAATATTCCTTTATTACCTTTTAATGACCATAAGATCTAGAGTGATGACCCCTCTTTTATTCCTGATATTGTTATTTAATTTCTTCTCTCTTCTTGATCAGTCTGGCTAGGAGTTCATAATTGTATTTATCTTTTCAAAGAAAAAGATGGACACTTAGACTATGGACTTAAGACTTTTATTTTCTTCTAATATAAGTAATTAATGCTATAAATTTCTCTCTAAGCACTATTGCTGCATCCCACAGATTTTGATGTGTCGTATTTTTAATTTTATCCTATGAAAATATTTTCTAATTTCTTTTTGTTATTTCTTATTTGAGCTATGGGTTATTTAGAAGTGTGTTATTTATTTTCATGTATTTAAGGATTTTCCAGATGGCTTGCTATTTGATTTCTAGAATAATTCCACTGTGGTCAGAAAACATACTCTGTATTATTTGAATTCTTTTTTATTTATTTAGCCCATTGAGACTTCCACTTTTTTTTTTTTTTTTTTTTTTGGCCCAGAATATGAGCTATAATTGTGACGGGTTCTGCTGTTGTTGGGTATAAGCATTCTGTAAACATCAACTAGGTCATGTTTGTTGATAGTGTTGTTCAAGTCATTTATGTGCTTGCTGATTTTTGCCAACTTGTTCTATCAATTCCCAATAGAAGAGTATTAAAATATCCAAATATAATTGTGAGTTTGTCTATTTTTTAAATTTTATCAGTTTTTGCTTCATGTATTTTGGAACTTTGTTACTGGATGAATACATGTTAAGGATTATTGTGATGTCTTAATTAATTGACTTCTTTATAATTATGTAATGTTCCTTTTCATCTCCAGTAATAGTCCTTGTTCTAAAGCTGACTTTGCTTGATATTAATATAGTCACTATAGTTTTCTTTTTGTTAATGTTTACATAGTCATTTTTTATCATCCATTTCTTTCAATCTAGCTGTGTTGTTTTACTTAAAGTGGGTTCTTTACAGATAATATATAATTTGTCTTGTCTTTTAATCCACACTGATAATTTCCCTTTTAATTGGAGTGTTTAGACGATTTATGTTTGATGTAATAATTGATATGGTTTTAAAATGTCATGCTGCTGTTTGTTTTCTATTTGTCTTATCTGTTCTTTGTTTCTTTCTTCCTCTTTTACCCCCTTTTCTAACTTTATTTTTTTATGATCTCATTTTATCTCCACCATTGGTTTATTAGCTGTGCTTCTTTAGTTTTGTTGTTGTTATTGCTTATTTTTAGTGACTGCTCTAGAATTTTTTTTTAGACAGAGTATTGTTCTTGTTGCCCAGGCTGGAGTGCAGTCGTGTGATCTCAGCTCACTGCAACCTCCGCCTCCCAGGTTCAAGCAATTCTCCTGCCTTAGTCTCCTGAGTAGCTGGGATTACAGGCACCTGCCACCACGCCCAGCTAATTTTTGTACTTTTAGTAGAGACGGGGTTTCGCCATGTTGGCCAGGCTCGTCTCAAACTCCTGACCTCAGATGATCCATCTGCCTTGGCCTCCCAGATTGCTGGGATTACAGGCATGAGCCACTGTGCTGGCTTCTAGAATTTATCTTTAGCTTATCATAGTCTACCTTCAACTCTGCATATGGTATGAGATTCTTTCATTTATCTCCTCTTTAGTCCTTGGTAGTATTATTGTCATTGGCTTTATCGCTGCATGTGCTAAAACTCCTACAATTAAAGAATGAGAAAAAAAGGTTTTTATGTATATCCTCATATTTTCCATTTCCTGTTTTTTACTCCTTTGTTAGATCCAAATTCTCCACTGACATCAGTTTCCTTCTGCCTGAAGAATTTCCTTTAGCATGTCTTGCAGTGGAGGTCTACTGACTTTTGTTTGTATGAAAAAGTCTTTATTTTGTCTTTGTTGTGAAAGATATTTTTGGTGGGAATATAATTCTACATTGACCGTTGTTTTTTCTTTCAGTCCTTTAAGATGTCACTTCATTGTCTCCTGGCTTGCATAGTTTCTTACAAGAAATACGCTCTAATGCTACCTTGTTTCTTGACACGTAAAGGGGTTTCTTTTCTCTGGCTGCTTTTTATTACTGTTTTTCACCAAGTTAACTATAATGTGCTTTTATGTATTTTTCTTTATGTTTATTCCATTTGAGTTTTGTTGAGATTCTAAGGTCTATACATTTACCACTTTTCATAAATTTTGGAAATTTCAACTATTATTTATTAGTTCTTCAAATATTTGTTTTCCTTCTCTCCTCTACTCTTAGAACTGCATTTACTATATTTTAGACAACTTGATATTTCCCCAAATGTCATGGAGCCCTCACTCCCTTCCTTCCTACCTTCCTCCCTTCCTCCTTCCCTTCCTTCCTTCCTTCCTTCCTTCCCTCTTTCTCTCTTTCTTTTTCTTTCTTTCTTCAGAGTCTCATTCTGTTGCCCAGGCTGGACTGGTGTGGTCATAGGTCACTGCAGCCTGTAACTTTCGGACTCAAGCAATCCTCCCACTTTAGCCTCCCCAGTAGCTGGGATTATAGGTGCATGCCACCATGCCCAGCTAATTTTTTCATTTTTTGTAGATATAGAGTCTTACTATGTTCCCAGGCTGGTCTCAAGCTACTGGACTGAAGCAATCCTCCTGCCTTGGCCTCCCAAAGCACTGACATTACAGGCATGAGTTACAGAGCCCAGCCTATTAATTTTTTAAAAATATTTTTTTCTCCCTGTGCTTCATTTTGGGTAATTTTTGTTGTTGGGTCTTTATGTTCACTAATTTTTTATTTTATAGTATTAGTCTGCTGTTACTTTTATTCAGTGTATTTTTTATTTAGAATATATTTTCATATCTAGATGTTCCACTTGAGTCTGTTAAAAAATATCTTCCATTTCTCTTGTTGTTATATTCATGTTTTGCTTTACATTTTCAAGCACATGGCACATACCTCTAATAACTGGTTCAGGTCTTTTCTAATTCCATAATCTCTGTCATCTCTAATTTTGTTCATATTGATTGATTATTAGCCTGACTATGGGTCATATTTTTCTCTTCTTCTTGCCTGGTAACTTTTTACTAGGTGACAGCCATTGTAGATATAATTTTGTTTGTTTTTTGTTGTTGTTGTTTATGGGTGCCAGATTTTGTTGAATTCTTTTAATAAGTGTGGACCTTGTTCTGATAGGCAGTTAAGTTACTTGGAAACAGTTTAATTCTTTCAAGCCTTGTTTTTAAGCTTTTGTTAGGCTGGGTCCAGAGCTTTGTTAGGCTGGGTCCTGGCTTTGTTTTAGGGTTAATTTAGCTCAACTAGAAAATGCACTTTGAGGGCTCAGCCCAATTCCCTGTGTATTATGAGGCCTCTTTACTCTGACTGATGGAAAAGCGAACATTTCCCAGCCGTGTGTAAACTCCAAGAATTACTGAGCTTACTTCTTTCTGGCTTTTCTTTTTCCAGCGTCATAGTTTTACCCCACACATGCACAGGTCAGCAGCAGTCAAAGATTCGAAGGGGCCCTTCTGCAGAGCTCCACAGTGCTCTGTCTGTGTGTCTCCCTCATTTCTGGTCCTTTGCCCTGGCCTCCCTGAAACCTGATCTCCACCTCCTTACTCAATGAGACTGCTATACCTGTTTGGGTTTCCTTTTTCCTGCCCTGCAGCCTGGAAACTGCCTCCAGGAAGTAACTGGGGTAGTCATAAGGAGGGCTCACATCATATGCTTCCCCTCTCCCAGAGATTACAGTCCTGCTTTGCTTTCTGTCCAAAGACTGCAAACAGTTGTTTCATGTATTTTGTCCATTATTCTAATGGAATATGTCAAGGAGGTAATTCTGTCACAGCTATTCCTTCATGGGCAGAACAGAAATCTATTTCACATTTTTCAGGCATTTTCTACCACTTGTCTTCTTTTAGTGTCCTCAGCATAACTTTCAAAATAATTATATGAGATACGTGTGTGTATGTGTGTGTATATGTGCATCTGTATATATGAGTATGTGTGTAATTATCCTCACTGTCCAAAATCGTTGGTTCTCTGAGTTCAGATAGGGAGATTCTTGACAAGAGAGTTTGGATAGCAAGGGATGCCTTGTTATCTGAATCAATTTGGTTCTCGACGTTTAGCTAGTGAGTAGCAGAGTTGGAAGGGGGAGCAGAGAGGATTCTCAATCAGGGTCCCAGTCAGAAAGTAATGGTTAATTCAACGGGTTTAATGAAAAAGGGGTAAAAGAGAATGTTAGCTAGAGAGTGGTGGGCAAGATTAAGGGAACCAACAGGAACCCAAATACTAGCACCAATGGGAAGCAGTTAACATCCCTAGTCCTAAAGGGACAAAGAGAAGGAATGTTTTTCCCAAGGCCACCCAATAGGATCTGCGGCTGTAGAGGGGCTCGGCCCCTGCTGAGGTTGTGGCCAGGCTCTAAGGAAATGGATATCGGAGAGGCCTTCGTTGTGGTTCCCTAGAAGCAGACTCTGAAGCAAGGATTTGCGTGTAAGTGAATGATTGAGGAAGTGCTCTCTGGAGACACACATGAGAGAAACAGGGAACCAAGACAGGGAAAGAGGGAAAGCCTTGCAAATTACAGATTCAAGCAATGTCCCAGCACCAGCCCAACCCCAGAGGTTGCTCTGGCGTGAAATCATATATCAGAGTCATCACCCTTCAGAGTTTTTCCCACCTCAAGGCAAGGGAGCTGGTTTTCAACCTCTTACCTCAGTGGTTGGCTAATGTCCAGAGGTGACATAAGCTTCCAGACACCCCCCAGCTGTCTACCTGTACTGGGTGAAGTGGCTCTGTGGCCCAAAGTGGGCTTCTGAGGAAAGCTGCAGGTGTCAGCCAACAGAAACAAAGGACATAGAAACCAGGAAATGGATGCTCAAAAACAGGCATGTGGGTGTGGCACCAACAGTGTTTATCACAGTAGAGGAGGGAAATAGATACCCCAAACACGCTCACCATTGATCTCCCATTGGCCACGCCCAATTAGAAGCTGGAGGGCAAGGCAACCCAGGGGATGCTATCCTAGTTGTCAGCCTCTGGGGCTTAGAGTAGGCACTGGAGGGTGGAAAATGGATCTGGATGGAGAGCAAAGGGAGAATAAATAGGAGAGGACAGCATAGATCTAAAATTTTATACATATCTATTTGGTCCTTAAATTCAAAAAGTGATAGTCTGGAAAGCAAGAGATACTTGTATGTGTGTAATGTATCACACACATACAAGTCTAGTCTAATAAACGTAAACTAATGTTTATTAGACTAATAACCATAATATAATGGCATGGATTATACCCTCAATGTTACTTCTGTGACTGTAGAGCAACCTCTCTGGGTTAATTCCTTATTTATAAAATTTCAAAACACAACAACAAAAAAATGCATGTCTTCTATCTTCAGCAGGGAAGAGTTATGAAAAATAACATACTAAGTGGTTGAGATGAAAAGAACTACTTCTCAATCTTGCTTGACCCTTGGAAACATCTCACTATCTTTTGTGTGTTCAAATTCCAGGTACTGACAATACAGAAATAAAAACATATCCTGGTAGTGTCTTTAAGGAAATAGGATACTGAAAATAAATTGAACAAAATGTCTTTGACACTTGTGATCTTGAGAAATCCTGAATATTATCATTGTCTTCTGCTTTTTTGAAAATTTCACATTTATTTAATTTCTGCCCCTCTGATATTTGACATTAGCGCTCTGGAAAAATATCACCGTTGGTGAAAGCCAAGATTCCAAAGGCCCATGATGAGAGCAATAGTTTATACTGGGAGGAGATGGGCCAGGAAGATATTACCATCATATCTATGGCACTGCAGCCAAAGGCTGTGTTCTGAAAACTCTAGACGACATCATTTCCAATAGTGATATAACTTACTCAAGTCTTCTCTTGAGGCAAACAAACAAAAAACAAAAAAATAAAAAACAAAGATATACCTCAAATCTGGATCCTTTATAAATAGATTTCCATTATATGTGCTCATATGACTTACTTAGGCCCAATGCTATGGACTTATCAGAATCCCGCCTGCCCCATGCTCTGTCTCTTTCTCTCTCTCTCTCTCAATCTGTGTGTGTGTGTGTGTGTGTGTGTGTGTATGCCAGTAACAAAAACTTAACTCAGATTAGTGTGGGCATAAATGGGGATTTATTTGCTCCGTAACTCTACTGGAGAAGTGGCAGCAGAGCCAGTAGAGTTTGGGAGTGGACCTGGCTCTTTTCCCTCTGACTATTCCCTCTGCTTTCATTTTTATGTTGGTTTCATTCTCTCTGACAGGCTTTCTCCACTTGCAGGGAAGTGTAGTCTGGCTCCCATCTCTCCGCTTTACCAGGGGCCTAGGGCTCACCTTCTCTGGTGCCATGTTTTAAAATCCCAGAGAGGGGCTCAATTGTCCTGGCTTGAGTAAAAAAAATCTATGGCCACAGCGATAGGCAACTCTGATTGGGGTCTCTAGGTGAGGTGCTCATTCTTTGGCCAATGAATGGGGTCGGGCATGGGAAAGCAAGAAGACATCAGTTCCCTTTGAACCTTATAGTTAGAGTCAGAGGGAAGAGCAAAGAAGAGGCTGTTGTTCAGGTACACACTGCAAAGTGGATGTGACTACCTTTACTTTAAAGATGAGATAACCAAGTCCCAGAGAGGCCAAGGGACTCATTTAAAACTACAGAGGTAATAAGTGGCAAAGCCATGATTGATGAGAGGCGATATATTATAGAGATTAAAGGCTCACATTCTAGAACCAGATACACTTGAACCGAGATCCCAACTCTTGCCACTTATCAGTATAATTTGGGATAAATTATTTATCTGCCTCTGATTTCTCCCCCTAAATATAGGCATACTGATAGTATCTCTCTCCTAAGAGAGTTGTGAGGATTCAATGAGATAACGTACAGGCACAGTGTAATTGCTGCTTAAATATTTGCTGTAATTATTGGCTAGGATTTAAACTTTTTCAAAGCTGTACCTGTGTGTTTGTGAGTGTCGGGCCCAATAGCTTTGTTCTGTTCTCAGGCCCAATAGCTTTGGAAATTTTACACATGGTCCAAAAGGAAATGAACTGTAGTTATGAACCCAGTCTCCATCATCACTGAGCAATGAGACCACTACCAGTCACTGAAAGGGCTTGAGAAATTGACTGGAAATCCAAACCCAGTCTCAGAAATCAAGGTCTCCAGCCAAGTCTTCTTACCAGAGGGGATTCTGTCCATTTACCTGAAGAGCTAATGTGGCCTCCCACCTTAGAGTGCTTACGTCATCCGTGCTTCCAGACTAGACTCAGGGAACTGTGGCCAGTCACTCACTCAGTCAACATGCTTATTGAGCACTTATTGTGTGTAGACCCTGAGCTCTGCAGATGTTTGATATTTATGCATCAAGAGTCTCTCCTAGGTGGAAAATCAGAAGGGCACTGATTTCTTGGATGGAAGACCAGTAGGAGAGGAAACCTCCTAAAAACACATATTATCTGACAAAATTCTCCTTGAAACCAAGGTCGAGGAAATTTGAAAAAATTTTCAAGGGTAAGAAATTATGAATGGAAATTAAGTATGTATTATCCATCGTTACTAACTCATGGTATATAAAAACATTAATGATACTCTCTTAAAAGCACAAAATGCACTTTTTTTGCATAGGACAAACTTTTCATGAGCAAATTACAAAGAGAACATTTCTGGCAAAATAGCTGATGTACTTACTCATGAATGATGCCTTAGCTTGATAACCTGTGAAGAATGCCTATTATTCACGGTTTATTGATAGGTATTCATTAATTATAATATTTTGTGAATCCATGGATTCCTTTATTCCCAGTTTTCACAGTGTTCACAACTAATAATTAATTCCTCCAACATCTTAGGGGCAAATTTAAAGATAACTGCAGTAAAACTTGTACTGATGTTCAGATCACGGTTTTGTTGCTTGAAGTCTTGGACTAAGGAACAACTGGTTCCCAAGTTATACCCGGGGGGACCCCATAAAGGGAACCTCTTCATATGCTATCAAAGAAAGAAATTCGCAGTATGAGAGAGTCATAAATGATAGTGGTATTTACAGCTGGCATGACCTGTTAGGTAAACCAGAATCTATGTAGAGTTACTGGGAAAAGTTCCCTGGATCTCACTAAAGCTCCCAACATCAGCTTTCATAATAGGAGGGAGATGCTTTCTCCAGTCACCCAACTTCTACCCAAGGTGCAGGTAGAGAGATGGCATGATACGGTGGGGAGAGCCTTGGCGTAAGAGTCCGGGGGCCATTATTGGTTCTGTCACTACTTGGCTGTGTGACCTTCAGTGAGTCACTTTACCGCGCAGAGCCTCTATTTCTTCATTCACAAAACTAGTTTGGATTAGTTGTACGTCACAAATGGGCAACCTACATGAAAACATTGGCCAGTAGTTTTGTTTTCATTGGCCCACATGGTGTTTCTAAAAATGCATATTCTTTCTGGTTTGCTATAGCCCCTACTTTTTCTAATTATCGTATATCCAGTCTTCTTCACTTGTTTATGTCAGTTTTCTGGCCCCTATAAACCTTGAGTTTTGGAATCCCTGGGATATATAATCTCTGATGTTGCTCCCACCTCTGATACCCAGAGACTCCAGGTCTTGGGAGGTTACCAAGCTCTAACAGTCAGGTAGGAGAAAAATTACAACACTGTGAAGTTTTGGAGTTCTTTTGTTGTTGTTTTTTATTTTTTTGTGTTTTTTTCTGAGACCCATTCTCCCTCTGTTGCCCAGGCTAGAGTACAGTGGTGTGATCTTGGCTTGCTGCAGCCTCCACCTCCTGGGTTCAAGCAATCCTTCCGCCTCAGCCTCCCAAGTAGCTGGGACTACAGGTGCCCACCACCACACCCAGCTAATTTTTGTATTTTTAGTAGAGATGGGGTTTGCCATGTTGGCCAGGCTGGTCTCGAACTCCTGACCTCAGATGATCCACCCACCTTGGCCTTCCAAAGTGCTGGGATTACAGGCATGAGCCACCACGCCCACCCAGAGTTCTTTTTTTAATGCTTTCCAGACTCCCCCATCTGGAAGCTGATGATGTAATCTCCTAGGCCTCTTCCTGTAAATCCCCTAAAGCCAGGGTCTCCATTACAGTCACAGAATGAGCCTTTTCTCTCCCTTGTTCATAGTAAATGATATCACACAGCTTGTGTCCTTGACTTTTTTTCTAATTCTGTCTCCTTGATCTTAAAGGCCAGCTAAGGCTATCACCTACAGGGCAAAGAAGCTCTTATTAAGAGCAAGGCTTGATCAGTGATGTGGCAAAGACAGCTGAAAAAGAAAAGGTAAATGCAGTGAGAGTCCCCCCTCCCACACCAAATTTAAGTTAGAAAGGAGTCTTAAAGGAAGGCTAGTTACTTCTAGGATTATCTTCTGTAGATTTCCAAACTTCTTGACTCTTTACAGCAGCTCTAGCCTTTCCTAGTTGAGTTGGTTTCATTTAGCTATCTGGTGGGGCTCCCTTTCTGTAGGGGAATTTGTTCATGTTGACCTAAGGGCACACAGCTGCCGTCAGCCTCTGGGGCACAGGATCTCCGTACAAAGCAACCCTGTACTGTAGGAAGTTCTCCACACATGTCTGCACACAGGAGTTCTGTCATTAACATGGTCCCGGTCACCCGGTGGAATGCACAGAGGGTGGGGAAAGTGGCTTCTTTCTCAAAAGCCTTCTTTTTATAAGGCTTGGATCCCTGACAACTGGAATTTTCTTTTATAGCTGAAAAAACATATTTCCCTTAAACACCACCCAGGCAGTCGTATGTCCTTAAGGTCAAAGAGATGAGACAAGAATTGAAGAGGACCCAACTACAGATCAATTTGCCTAAATGTAGAGTTTGTCTGCCTATGAAATGAAGAAGTTGCTTCCATAAGCCACATAATTATTGTGGTTTAGTAATTAACTCTCCTTTCTTAAATAGTTAATTTCCCCCAATAATAAAAATCAGTCATACCCACTATAGAAAATAAAGGGAGTAAATAACAATCACCCATACTTTTACCACCCCCAAATTTTATTTAAGCACAACCTGGAGTCTGGAGAGTTTTTTCTATGCATAAGTATATTTTTAAAAATGTACTTGAGATCATACTAGTCTCATCTCTTAAAGTCACACTTTCCTTTTCAGGACATTATGAAATCTCTCCGAGAGAAGTTAAAAGCTAAATTTTTTCACTTAATTTATTTGTAATAAAATTTTCAATGATTTAGGAGAGATGGGAACATCTGTCCAGGACTATAGAGTTTTAGCCATTGACAGAAGATAGGTATTCCATACTTCCTTTAAGATGCCATGAGTTGTAGCTTTATTGGGCTTACATCACACAAACAAAACCTGAAATTCTTGCCCATGTACATTTTACGTATGACTTCTAGCCATCTGTTCAGATTCACCATTAATAAAAATATTTAGGAAAATAATTCTATTTCTTATTCCTATTGTTATTGTCTCCTAGCAAACCTCTGAGATTTGACTTAGAACCACTAGTTTTTAAGCAGCCTTGGGAGAAGTCCCCATGTATCCAAGGATTTTGCCTTGAGACTAGAAATAAAAGTGATTCTTATGGAGAGTGGGGTACACACAAGGGAATGAAAACCTAATATGTGTTTTTGGTGTTAAAAATAAATGAAAGGCCGGGCGCGGTGGCTCACGCCTGTAATCCCAGCACTTTGGGAGGCCGAGGCGGGCGGATCACGAGGTCAGGAGATCGAGACCATCCCGGCTAAAACGGTGAAACCCCGTCTCTACTAAAAATACAAAAAAATTAGCCGGGCGTAGTGGCGGGCGCCTGTAGTCCCAGCTACTTGGGAGGCTGAGGCAGGAGAATGGCGTGAACCCGGGAGGCGGAGCTTGCAGTGAGCCGAGATCCCGCCACTGCCCTCCAGCCTGAGTGACAGAGCGAGACTCCGTCTCAAAAAAATAAATAAATAAATAAAAAATAAATGAAAAAGAAGCTCATGTTCAGCCTCAAGCTTTAAGCAGATTGGCTAGCACCATCTAGAAAATATGAGCTCTAGCAAGAGAGCTAGAACCCCCTTTTCCGTGTTATACTAATCTTCAAGGTGAAGAGCCTCTAAGATGAACACTAGTCGAGGAATTCTACAATGATGGAGGGACAGCTATACTAGGAGTACTGATTTTTGCTCTGTTCCAGCCAGGCCAATCTTCAGATTTAGGGCATAGAGATCCCTGATACTGTCACACAAGGCAGTTCTCAAGGTTGCAAATGTGTTCAGGGCTCTTCGTCCCCAATCGGAACATGCATCAGAACCACACAGATGACTGTCCTTCTGTGGAGTAGTTACAGAGATGAACGTCATTGACCCCCTCAGTGATTTAGAGCAAACAAGGAGGCAGAGAAAATGAAATGCAAAGCTGCTTTATCAGGAAAGGAGTACTATATGCAATTATGTGAACTTTCCCTAGCGGCCCAGATAAATGACAGTTTTCAAAATTCTTAGCACCTAATTTACTCAGGCCTTGAAAAACAAGAACTTTGTCTGAAGCTGGGCATTTACTAGGTGGACATCATGCCCCAGGGAGCATGAATGTTTAAGAGGTTTGCTGAAATATGGATAACAGTTATTTTGATTAACTTGGTCCAATTGGCACTGAGGTCAAAATTTTGTTAACCAGAGTTCAACTATTTATACTTCTCTATTAACTTAAACCCTAGTCTCATGCTGATTTTAGGTGAAGGAGCACATGATTAGAAAATGTAAGCAACTTGAGTACAGAAATTGAGTACTTTCTTTCCTTCTCTTATCTTCTTTGTAAGCAACAATAAACACTTGCTAATTTAAAATGACAGCTTGGATTAGTCACCTGTTTCCCATTTCAAAAAGGACTTCAGAACCTTTTAACCTACATGGTGGCCATGAAAATGCAGATCTTGGAGTGTGGGAGCTTAACAGACCTCCAGCCTCAGCTGCTGTGCTCTAAAATCCATCTGTTTATATGAAGCAGGTGCCCCACAGCCTGCTCTGAACCAACAACTGAGTTAGGCAGAAATGCTAAGGTGGACCTGTTTCTGGGAGACTTGAGGACTCCCCACTGGCCTCGCTGAAATTTTCTTAGAACTGCAAAGTGATGTAAGGTGTTTAAACCCAACTTTCCATCCTTTCTTCTTTCCTCCATAGCGCTCGGACGTGCATCTTGGCTTGATGACTTTCTGGCCTCTTCCAACTTCCTTCCCTTTCCCTCACAGGTACTTTTCTCAATAAATCTCTACACGTCCACCAGTATTAGAAGACTGAATGAACACATGCTATTTGACAGCCATCTAAAGTAGATAAGACAGATCCTCATTATATGAAGTTGGAAATGAATTTTGAAGGGAAATCAATTGTCCATATCACAGAGTTTTTCTTTTCAGCTTATCAGCAGGCTTAAGAAGTCACCTTCACACTTAAAAATAATCTATTTGACCCTACAGTCTCAGTCCTTACCTCACTGGACTCCTCCTGTGCATTTGGTGGGTTGACTACACACTGCTTTGCCCTTGGCTTCTAGAAACCACTTCGTTGGAAACTGTTTCCTAGTCCAGCCCTTGCATGTTGATATCGCCCGGGGGATCATTGTCTTTTCTTTTTTCCATTCATCTATGCTCATGACTTCAACTGTTGCTTGTGTGCTGCCCACCCCCTTATCCACATCTTCTGTTGGGTTGAAGGAATGAATGGTGAAAACAGGACTGAAATCCAAGTTTGGCTAGGAGATCCATCCCCTTTCCATGTGGTCATTTGATTGGTTACAGTGACCCTTATTTGCTACAGGATGTCCAGATAACATAGAAGGAAAAGTTCCATTCACTGCACTATACATCATAAGGCAGGAAGAGAGGCTGATGTTTAATTAGATTCACCAGATGATGAGATAAACGATTTTCTAGGAAATTGTCAATTAATTCATTCAAAAATATATATTGAAAGCTTACTTTGTACATGCCAGAGACTGTTCTAGGTGCAGAAAATTGTGTAATGGGTAAGACAGGTAAGATCCTGCTCCCATGGAACTTCTACTCCAGTGAGAAAAACAAACATATGCATAAGATAATTTCAGAAAGTGATAAGTGCTATGAAAAAAGTAGAAAATATATATATAATAGAGAGTGGTGGAAGTTGGGGGATGACTCATTCAATCAGGTGATCATGAAAGGCCTTGCTAAGGAGTGAGATTTGAACTGGGACCTGAATGATGAGAAGTTGAATATGCAAGTAACTGAGGGGAGAGTGTTCCAGGTAGAGGGGCCAGCAACTGCAAAGGCCCTGAGGTTGAGACGGCTTGACATTTTAGAATAATAGGAAGTAGCCAATATGACTGAAACACAATGGTAGAGAGGGAGAGTAATATAAGATACATTGGAGAGGTAGAAATACCATAGCTCTTATAGGCCTACATAAGAGCTTCAGATCTCATTCTCAGCTGTTAGAAGGTTCTAACCATGGGAGGAATTGGATCTGACTTATATCTGTCTGTTTGTTTTTTTATCACCTTGGCTGCTATTTGGAACGTGGAATGAAGAGTTCAAATAGGAGGGTCAGCTAAGAGGCTTTGAGAGGCTGGTAGTGGCTTGGACCAGGTAGGAACCATGAAGATAGAAAGAAGAGGCTGAATTAGGATTATATGTTTGTACTGAGAGTACTTGAGAGTTTATATGTGGGGAGTAAGAAAAAGAGAAAAAACACGTCTGACTCTTGCATTTTTGGTTTGAGCAACTGGGTGGATGGTGAAACCATTTCCTGAAATTGGGGAAATGGGGAAGAACAGTTTTAAGAGTGAACTCAAGAGTTTCATTTTGGACATGCCAAATTTGAGATATATTAGATATCCCATAGCAGATATTGTGTATGATTAGAAGGCATATATAAGATTGGGGTTTAGGAGAAAGGTCAGTGCTGAAGATACATACATGTCAATGGTTTTAAAACCATGAGAATGGATGAGATCACCTTGAGTTAAGAAGGAAACCCATGGCTGGGCCCAGTGGCTTACGCCTGTAATCTCAGCACTTTGGGAGGCCAAGGCAGGCAGATCACAAGGTCAGGAGATCGAGACCATCCTGGCTAACACGGTGAAACCCCGTCTCCACTAAAAATACAAAAAATTAGCCGGGCATGGCAGCACGCACCTGTAGTCCCAGATACTCAGGAGGCTGAGGTGGGAGAATGGCGTGAACCCGGGAGGCAGAGCTTGCAGTGAGCCGAGATCGCACCACTGCACTCCAGCCAGGGCAACAGAGTGAGACTCCATCTCAAAAAAAAAAAGAAGGAAACCCATGATTTAGAGATAAAGTACAGAAAGAGGAATCAGAAGGAGACAGAAGGAGGGACTACTGAAGTTGGAGAAGTATTTGGAGTGCTCACAAAATGCCAAGTGTTCTGGAAGTGCTTCAGAAAGAAAATAATGGATTAATTGCGTCCGATGTAGCCTGAGAGGCTGAGTAAGCTGAGGCCAGAAAAGGGACATTGGGTTTTGGCAACATAGAGGTTGGAGTTTGTGTTAGTCAAGGTTCTTAGTGTAAGTAAAAGTAAATGACTCCAGCTGATTTAGGTAGAAAAGAAATTTACTTTAAAAGTCTTGGCTGTTTACAGAATTGTGAGAAGAGCTGTTACACCTGGCTAGCAGGCCACACAGACAGGAACAACACCACCTCTAATCTCATGGTGTAATGGGTGTGGTGAGGATCCTACTGGTGCCATTCAATGGAGTATCTGCTATCAATCAAGAGTAGTGGTTCTCGACCTTGTGGCTGCCCATTGGAGTTAGCAGAAGGATTATAAAAATACTAATGCTCAGTCTCCATCTCTAGAGATTAAACCATCTTTATAATACATCCCTTTAAGGTTGGTTTAGACCTCCTTAAAAGGGAGTTTGGATTTAGAATGGGTTGACTTTGGTATAAATAAGTGGTATGGCCTGAGATGCCCCAATTCTGAGGAATGTCTTCTACCATAAAAAGTTGATGTCCCTTGGTGCTGCAGGGACCACGCTGATTCCTGTTACTCCTACCTATGCTCCCTAATTCACCCAGCTGCTGGTCATCCACAGCCCCTAACTCAGTCATTCAGAGTTTCACCAAACCAGAAGTCTCTTTCCTCAGAGCAGGTGGGGCTGACTTTCCATTGCTCTAATGCTAAAGGAGGTTTGGGGTAATACCCTATCTCCATGACTGGGCTATAGATTCTAGAATTGTTCCATGTAAAGAATGAGGATTGGCTGGGCGTGGTGGCTCATGCCTGTAATCCCAGCACTTTGGGAGGCCGATGCGGGCGGATCACTTGAGGTCAGGAGTTCAAGACCAGTCTGGCCAACATGGTGAAACCCCATCTCCACTAAAAATACAAAAATTAGCCAGGCATGGTGGCGCATGCCTGTAATCCCAGCTACTCGGGAGGCTGAGGCAGGAGAATCCCTTGAACCTGGGAAGTGGAGGTTGCAGTGAGCAGAGATCGCACCATTGCACTCTGCAGTCCAGCCTGGGTGACTGAGTGAGACTCCGTCTCAAAAAAAAAAAAAAAATGAGGATCTCTGAAAATAGTCCTTTGTCATCTTTTTAAGCCCAAATAGAGGAAGGTTTCCAGTGAGTTGGGCCATGAAGATGGAGCAGAGGGTATTGCACTATCTACCTGACATAACTGGCCTTTCTAGGAGATGTTGTTTGCTCCTAAAGAGATAGAGAAGGGGAATGATCCTTTTTGGCCCGTTCCCTGACAAAAAGCATACATAACACAATCCTTACGGGAAGGAAGGGCCAAGGGAAGGCAGGGCCGCCTGTCAGCTCCTTAGATGGTCTTCCCATTCCTCAGAATGAGGGCCACTACTACTCCTACCCCATAGTTTGAGTTGCCAAATTTGACTAAGGCAGAAAGCCCATGTGCCTGACTCCTGAGGATCACCTGCTACCCAACTGGCTCTTTGGGGTCAACTCTGGCTGAAATGGGATGAAATCTGGGCCTTGCCTGCCTCAGGGGTGGGGCCTGTGCTAAGTCCCAGGAGTTCATGCTCACCTGCCCTGTATTGCTAAGCACAAAGCATCATGCTGTATACCTGCACCCCCAGATGTACTAATCCTTCTTCTTTCTGGATGTACGAATCCAAACTTATTTATTGGGATGCTGATTTATTTAGAAAATTAAAAATATATTTTGCTCATCTTTTCTGATTACCAAAACAAAATCTGTCCATTGTAGAAAATTTGGAAAATAAAGATATGTACCTAGAAGAAAAATGAAAAAAAAAAAAAACACACTTACTTATGAGAGATAAGGATTGTTAATACTTCATGTTGGTCTTTTTGGTCCCTTTTTACAAATATTTATGTGCAAGTATATGTAGTGTATTATAATGTTAATTATTTCATAACCTGTATCTTAATATATAGTGATCATCTTTCCATATTATTAAATATTTATTCCTCCCAAACAGTACTTTTTGGCACTTACAGGTGGCCGCCTCACAGTGACACCAACCTCAACATGAACTTCCCATTTATAACCTAATCTTGAGATGTAGGGAAGATGATGGAGTTTTTTGCAAAGGAAGGGTGTCCAGACACTTCAAGACATTCAGAGAAAAGACTTTCACAATAGACACAAAATGAAATACAGACCTAGGAAATCCATGTGCTTTTTATGAGAATCTTCATGCAGCAGAAAAGGAAGCAAAAATGACAGAGGATCACCCAGAGACTTATCACTTAGAGCCAGCACACATCATAGACAAGTCCCAGGGCTGAGGTGACAGCAGAAAGGGCTGCACACTGCCAGAAAATCGTCCTGCTTAGTGAGGCAGAAGCAGACGAGGCCACTTCAGGTCAAGCTGTAGCTGGCACAACTCCGTGGTGAGGGTGCCATTTTCCTATTTCTTCCTCCGCCCGAATGAGGGTCAGGGGGAAAGGGCTGACTGCCCTCTTGAAAAGTGAGTGCTCAGAAAGATTACAAAGTCTTTCATGAGAAATGACAATTGTGAAGTGACAGAGAAGATGCAAGGTAAGCCCCACAGAGCTAGAAATCCATAGCCTGTGATTGGGGAGATTGTATCTTTAACTTTTGGATTTCTAAGGACATTTAAAACCTGCCAGAATCATGACTGCTCTGGAGGCACATCTGTGTCTCCATAGCAACAGGCTTCCTGCTGCAAGGTAAACCTGGGATTGCCGCTCTGGTTTCTGTTTGGTGCTGAACACACATGCTTGATGATTGAGGACCTGAAAAATGCTCGTCTGTCATCCTTTTTAGCCCATATGGAGGAAGATCTTCAATGAATGGGGATATCAAAACGGAGCAGAAGTATTTCACTACCTATATAGGTGATTTTCTCTGAGCAGTCTCTTTCCCAACTTTGGAATCAAGCCAGGCCAATGACTGTAACTGGGGACTTCCAAAGTTCCAGAAAGCATTTCCTTGAGAGTTGTTTCTGCCTTATTCTTAGCAAGAGAAACTGCTAGGGTTTGGCTATCCATTACGCTGTTCAAGGTGAAGGTTAGCAACAAAATATGTAATTTTCTTATCCTTTTTTGCTACTGAAGCCACAGATACTGTGGGAGCAACTATGGGCTTCTACTGACACCGTTATCCCTGATAATATTGTAATCTGTGCTTTCTAACTGGCCTGGTTTTGAAAGGAGATAAAATGGGCAATACCTTGTTAGAAAAATAACAATAATATCATTAATTTTGATAAGAACTTATAGAAAAATAAGGGGTGGAAAATCAGTTTTTTAACATGAATCCAACATAACTGAGTCCATACTGTGGATTCAGGTTTTTTTAGGTTATCCAATTCATTCATTCATTCATTCATTCATTCATTCATTCACTACTATGCATTAAGCTTTGCCACTGTGCATGATACTGTAGGAGATGCAAAGATGAAAAAAGACACAGCTCCACTCCTTAACACCTAGTAGCAAGGGAGACAAACCAAGTTTACAAGCAAACATATTATATAATTTAATAAGAGCCCTAAGAGAAGTAAAGATAAATTATACATAAGTTTAAGAAAGGGGCCAAGCGCAGTGGCTCTGGCTGGGCACGGTGGGTCATGCCTGTAATCCCAGCACTTTAGGGGGCCAAGAGGGGTGGACCACTTGAGGTCAGGAGTTCGAGACCAGCCTGACCAACATGGTGAAACCCTGTCTTTACTAAAGCAATACAAAATTAGCTGCGCATGGTGGCATACATCTGTAATCCCAGCTACTTGGGAGGCTGAGACAGGGGAATCGCTTGAACCTAGGGAGGCGGAGGTTGCAGTGAGACAAGATCACACCATTGCACTCCAGCCTGGGCAACAAGAGTGAAACTCTGTCCAAAAAAAAGAAGAAGAAGAAGAGGGGGATTCTGTAGTTTGAATGTTCAAGGAAGACTCATGGAGGAGTCTTTGAGCTGGACCCTAAATGATGTGGTGGGATGAGTGAGAGGCAATTCCAGGCCCAGAGTGAGAAAGTTCAAATCTGTGGCAAACAGTAAGCAGTTTTGTAGACTTGAGTATAGGGTGCAAACAGGGAAGGGTAAGTATAAAATAAGATTAAAAATGAAAGTGGGATGTATAGTTTGGAGGATCTTGAATATCAAGCTAAGCAGTTGGAATTTTTTTCCAACAGTTGCATGGCAACATCAGAGCACAGAGCTGATATGGTATCAAAGGGTGACATGGATTGGAAGAAAATGAGGGATGAGAGGTGGGGAGGCTACTGGTGCAATGCAGGTAGGAGTTAACAGGGCCTGAAGTAGGACAATGACAGCCCAACTAGGAGGCAGAGGCAGAATTCTCAAAGCTTAGCAACAAACTGGATGGGGGGGCATGGAGCCAAGGATTTATGCCAATGACATTCTCTAGGTCAGTGGCTCTCAAGCATTAGCACATCAGAATCACTTGGAGGGCTTGTTAAAATGCAGATTGTGGGCCCCGCTCTCAGAATCTCTGATTCAGGTCTGGGGTGGAACTAAGAAATCAAATTCCAGCATGTTTCCAGGAGATGACAAGGTTGCTGGTCTAGGGACCACACTTTCAGGACTGCTGTTCCAGGTGCTCTGTGGCTCACCCTTGTGACTGAACAAAAGCAACCGCAAAGGGACAAGGAAGGCAGAAGAGGCAATATGCAACCAACACACGTGGATTGGAGGAGACTTTTCTTGTCCTTTAAATCTATAGGATACACAATGCCTGGGGCAAAAGGGCTCAGGTAAAAATGCTTACTGCATGCAAAGACATTTGTATTAACAGATAAGTCACAGCACAGAATGTCTCTCATTTAGGCTCCCTCCTCCATTTTTTTTTTTTTTTTTGAGACAGAGTCTCAAGAAACAGTCTCGCTCTGTTGCCCAAACTGGAGTGCAGTGGCTCAATCTCAGTTCACTGCAACCTCCATCTCCCAGGTTCAAGCAATTCTTCTGCCTCAGCCTCCCGAGTAGCTGGGACTACAGGCGGGTGCCACCATGCCCAGCTAATTTTTGTTTTTTAGCAGAGATGGGGTTTTACCATATTGGGCAGGCTGGTCTCGAACTCCTGACCTCGTGATCTGCCCACCTTGGCCTCCCAAAGTGCTGAGATCACAGGTGTGAGCCACTGCGCTCGGCTGCCCTCCCCCACTTTTTTCTTTCTTAAAAATATATAAGTCCTTGTCTTATGGGAAGGTTATAATGTAATGTTGAAATCAACAGCCCTGGGTTCAAATCCTGACTGTGCCCCTTGGGCCAATGACTTAACTTTTTGAAGTCTCAGTGATTCTATATTAAAATTGAGATAACAATGCCTAGTGAACAGTGTTGTGAGGAATAAATGTGGAAAGCACTTGGGACCCTGCCTGGCACATTGTGGGGCTCAGTGAATTTTGGTTTCCTCCCTACTCCAACCCTTCCAGTGGGAATGAAGAGGATGCATCCCCAGCGGAAAGCTGTGGAAACACGAGTTGGTCAAACAGCCCCTCAGGGACACCCAAGGCCCCACAGTCACCCTGTCATGTCTTTGGATTAAGCATCACCCTTTTATACCTCTCTTTACAAATGCCATCATGTTGAATCTCCAAAGAACATGGGAAAATTAGTTTGTCCGGTATTTTCTGCCTGCTGGGAAGGGATGGGACAGGGACTCAGAGGGCGGAGGCATGAAAACAAAGCAAAGTTTTGACTCCGGTGGAATTTTATTGTGATCAGGTGGGCCTGACCAGAGCAGCCATCCTTGCGGGTCTTGAGGCTTTGATCTTGGAGATAAGGCTTTTGTGAACCTCAGAGGATTTTCAGAGTAGCTATTGTGCCCCAGTAAAGAAATGAGCCGGTAAGCATTTTTTCTTTAACCAGATAAATCTGGTATCATAATATCCCCAGACACGAAAGCAGAATGCAGACTTGGCATTGAATCACAGAGGGAGGAACGTCTCAGACTGAGCCTGTGCCATGGGAACCTGATGGCAAACAGGGCCTGGAGCCCCCTGCCCCCAACATTCTGGAGAAAGGGTTTGGGAAAAGGACAGCCCCTTCAGTTCAACCAGATGCAGCAAGGAAGTGGGGGTAGATTGGAGGAGAGTGGGAACACACACAGGTGATTCTCCTGCTCTGGGTTGATCAAACCAAATATACAGGTTATAGGTTAGTGGGAAGGTGAAGACCCTATTCACCCATTTAATAGGGAGGTGGAGTGGGAGGGAAAGGTCTTTCCTTCCATGGTCCCCACCCAAACAGGCCAACGTATGGTTCTGTGATAGGTGCTAACAAGCCAACATTACTGAAGTATCTGCTTCATGTAGAGTCCATTGATTACTAATGAAGAGAAGCATCAATAGTTCAGGTCCACCAGGTTGCTGGCTGTTAACCCATATTCTTCGTTTTTTAAAAGTTTATTTACCACCCCAATCTTCCCACCCCAAGTTAAATCCAGTACAGATACAAAGGAATACTGTGCAACTAATATAAATGCCCTTGCAGAGGACTATTTAATGACAAGGAAAAAAATGTAGGTTACAAAAGCAGTATAGCCCCATTTTTATTTTAATGAATGAAAAAAGGCAAACATGTCTCAGGGGTCAACTCTGGTGGTGGAATTACAGATAATTTTATTTTCCTTTTCTTATCTGAGTTTTTGAAATTATTTACAAATAAACATATATTACCTGTAAGTAAAAAAGACAAAATTATTTAATTTAAATAAATATGTTCACTACAGGTCATGATACCCTTTTTTACTAAATATGAGTATGAGTAAATGTGAGTACACACTACATATAATTTTGCAATCTGCATGTAAGCATTGTCCATGTTATTAATAAGATCATAATTATTATTTTTAATGGCTGCATGGTATTTTATCATATAAAAAACCATGATTTTTTTCTCAATTTCCAATTGTTGGCTATTTATATTGTCTCCAATTATTATTATTATAAATAAGGCTGAAATCAATATTGTTTTAGCTTATTTAATTTTTCCATAGATTTCTTTGAAAATGTTAGCCACCTACTTATTTTACCTTACCTTCAACTGCCTTGGCAGGATTGAATTTCCATATACTCACACACCTGCATAAACATCTTTTTCTTTCTAACTGTATACCAATGAGCTTTTAGTGCATTTTTTTTTTAACAGGGTCCCTCTCTCACGCTGATATTTCTTGTAGGATTGTTAGTCATTCAAATTGCCAAGACAGTTGTCAATCACAAATTCGGGCTGTAGAGATCATCTAGTGCTATGTCCATTTACAGGGAGAAAGCCAAGGCCTGGAGAGGTGAAGCGACTCGCCCAAGGGGCTATCCAGCTACTTAGTGACCAAGCTGGAATGACAATTTGGAGAATATTTTCCAAAGGCTGGGAATTTTGAGGGAGGGTCACTAAATGGGAAACGATGGTAATATTTGGAGGGAACATTAAACAATGATAGAGCAGAAGGTAGGGAGAATGAAAAATAACTTAGCAGTAAGAAGGGGAGGGAGTAGAAAGATTGATAGGAGAGAGGAGGAGAGGCTGGATGAGGGAGGAGAGGATGAGAACTGAAACTAAGGACAACAATGTAAAGGGAAAAAGAAAAAGTGATTGAGGAAAATTCACACATTGAAATCCTTTATGGCAGGGTTTCTCAACCTTGGCACTATTGGCATTTTAGGCCAGACAATTCTTCCTTGTGGGGCTGTTCTGTGTAATACAAAATGTTGAGTAGCATCCCTGGCTTCTACCCACTAAATGCCAGTAGCATCCTCTTTCTTCCGCACCGCCCGCTGTGATGACCAAAAATGTCTCCAAACATTGCCAAATGTCCCCTCAGGGGCGAAGTCACCCAAATTGAGAACCACAGCTCTATGATATTGTTCTCCAATGATACTACTGGAGAATGATTTCTCCCATTCCTTAATACTGGAATGGAATCTAGACTATCTCCTGAAAGGCAGAATTGGAAGCAGAACATTTGAATGCAGTTTATAGATTGTAGGTCTCAAAACAGTGAGGTTGTGCTGAAAGGCAGGGAGGGAAAATGATTAAATAAAGCCCATTTTTCAGATAAAGAGAATGAGACAGGAAATACACAATTTGCGTCAGGCACTAAGATGAGTCAAAGAGAAACCAGTAAGAGACACATGAACTTAGTATTTGACTTTTTGAAAGAAGAAAAACAATTTTATCACCAACCCTCCCCAACTTCAATCCTGGATCTTTGTGAGAACAAGGAAGGGAATTGTTACTCTCCCTAGAAGCTGACAAAACATCAGGAATTGGAAGTTACATTTAGAAATGTTGCTTTTCAGTGAAGGACAAAAGTAGAGGATGGCAGGAGCTAGAGCTGCTGACTGAAGGAAAAAAATAGCCATTGTGGGCCCAACATTGAGACCCCGCCTTAGCTCCTCAAATCCTCCCATCATCTTTGAGGCAGGCCCTATTCTTCTTTTCTTCTTTTCTTCTTCTTCTTCTTCTTCTTCTTCTTCTTCTTCTTCTTCTTCTTCTTCTTCTTCTTCTTCTTCTTCTTTCTTCTTCTTCTTCTTCTTCCTTCTTCTTCTTCTTTTCTTCTTCTTCTTCTTTCTTCTTCTTTTCTTCTTCTTTTCTTCTTCTCTTCTTCTTCTTTTCTTCTCTTCTTCTTCTTTCTTCTTCTTCTCTTCTTCTTCTTCTGCTTTCTTCTTCTTCTTCTTCTTCCTTCTTCTTCCTTCTTCTTCCTTCTTCTTCCTTCTTCTTCTTCTTCTTCTTCTTCTTCTTCTTCTTCTTCTTCTTCTTCTTCTTCTTCTTCTTTTCTTCTCCTTCTCCTCGTCCTCCTTCTCCTTCTCCTTCTTCTTATTTTTTATTTTATTTATTTATTTTTTTGATGGAGTCTTGCTCTATTGCCAGGCTGGAGTGCAGTGGCTCAATCTTGGCTCACTACAACCTCCGCCTCCCGGGTTCAAGCAATTCTCATGCCTCAGCCTTCTGAGTAGCTGGGATTACAGGCACGCGCCACTACGCCCAGCTATTTTTTTTGTATTTTTAGTAGAGATGGGGTTTCACCGTGTTGGCCAGGATGGTCTCTATCTCCTGACCTCGTGGTCTGCCCGCCTAGGCCTCCCAAAGTGCTGGGATTTTTAATTTTAAGTTCTGTGCAGAACGTGCAGGTTTATTACGTAGGTGTACATGGAGGCAGGCCTTATTATTAACTACATTTGGCGGATGAGTAGCTGAGGGTCAGAAGTTGAGTGATTCGCCCAAGCTAAGTGATGAGGCCACAATTTCAAACCAGACCCACCTGATTCTCGAGGCAGGGCAGTAACCTCTGAGCACCCCTGCCTCTATGCCACGGACAGAGCCTGCTTCTGTAAGATTACCGCTCTGTCTCATTTTAGGGTACTTCCCAAGAAACTCCCTCAGTTCACCTCATCATGGGTACAGGTGAGAGGACTCGTCACTCACTGTGACAGAGGCATGCAGCCTGGAGGCTCCCCCTGGGGGTTTGCCCGGATCCTCACGGTGCAAGAACACTGACAAGATCCTGCCGTGGAGTTGGTCAAGATTTCCTGGAGTGCTACCAGAGGCCTATTCTGGGCTTGCACACACCCAGGCCCTCCCTCTGGGCCTCTCCTGCAGCATGGTGGCTGTCTCCCCACTGGCCCTCCAGAGCCATAGTGGCCCTGGTACAGGTGAGCTGTCTCCCCACTCCATCCTCCAGAGCCACACAGCCCTGGTACAGGTGGGCTGCTGTGACCCTGACATGGTGCTGTGGTTTCTTTCCTTCACAAGCACAATTAGGCAAGCCATCGCTGTCAGATTCATTTTATTTTTAAAAAACTTGTTTGGTATTGTATTTGGCATTTTAAAAGATGTTTTATGGTGTTACATTTTAAAAGCCAATTTGTTTTCACCGCAGGAAGGCCCTCAGGAGGGAAGAGCTGTTTTTTAAACTGTTCCCCTTGTACAAAAATATTTTCCAAGTTATTTAGATTTATAGTACAGATAATACTTGTCTCCCATTGGTCCAGGATAACAAGTAATAATAATAATAACAAATAGTGTAATCTGCTTAATCTGAACTATGCGCTCTTTTTTTTTTTTTCTTTTGAGACGGAGTCTCGCTCTGTCACTCAGGCTGGAGTACACTGGTGCGATCTCAGCTCACTGCAACCTCCACCTCCCAGGTTCAAGCAATTCTCCTGCCTCAGTCTCCTGAATAGCTGGGATTACACCCACACCACCATGCCTGGCTAATTTTTGTGTTTTTTTAGTAGAGACATGGTTTCACCATGTTGGTCAGGCTGGTCTCAAACTCCTGACCTCGTGATCCGCCCACCTCGGCCTCCCAAAGTGTTCGGATTACAGGTGTGAGCCACTGCGCCCCGCCATATGCACTCTTATATGTACATACACTATGCACTTTTACACTTTTATACATGAAGAAGTTGAGGCATAGAGAAGTGAAGCAACTAGTCCCAGGTCACACAACTGAGACCTGCAAAACCTTAAAAAAGAAGAGAGTGGAAATCTTTCAACCTGATTAAAAAGTATTCCTGCTTTCAACATAAGCTGCATATAACCAGTTCCAAGATTGCAGATTCACTTCTTCCTACAAATATGTATCGAAAACCTACTATGACTCCATTCACAGGAAGATGGTGCCTCAGTCAAGATAAGAATTCCCGGTCTATGATTTCAGCACTGGATACAGGCAGGCAGTATTATTTTAAAAAGTTTGCAGTATAAAAAAACTTCTCTCCTATTTATTGCCTCCACATGGCAATGTCCCTCCCATCTCTCTTTACAAGAGAAGGCAGCCAGGCACCTTTGTCTGTTTGTCTCATCACTCAACCCCCGACTTCCCCTCTCACTCCACACAACTGCATCCCCAAGTGCTGCCCTCAAGGCTGGGCCTAATGGGCACATGGAGTCCTTATCTTACTCATCTTCCCTGTGGCATTTGACACGCTTACCAACTTCCTATTCCTTGAAATTCCCTTTTATTGAAACTCTAACAACTTCCCAAGACTTCCTGAGGTCATCTTTTTCTCGTTCCCCTCCCACTCCTGGGATGCTCCTTCTTGTTCTCTTTCGTTATAATGACTTTCAAAACTGGGAACTTGAAGTGTACTTTGTGCAAATTAACTCACATGGTTTTGATGAACTGAATCAGCATCATACCCAGCGCAGGGATGGGAAATAGAGAGGAAGACCCACTGCGGGACTTCTGTTTGCCCACTGATTCAGTGAGAAGCCAGGATGCCAGGTCCAGCACAGCAATGAGTTTGATTGTGTTGATTGTGTCTCCTCCAGACATTCACTGTCAACTCTCAATGCAGAAACAGCTCATGAACTATATTTAGGAAGGACAGAGCCTGATGAGTGTGGAAAGACTGCAGGTTTGGGCACAGGGCTGGATTTAAAGGTCTAGACCTGTGAACACCACCTATTTTGTTGGCTGTTAATTTTAAGTGTATGTTTGTTCTAACAACAGGACCCTAGCTTCTGCTGGCCCTTAAGGGTTACAAGATTTTCCTCCTGGTGACAGATTGTTTGGCTACATCCCAAAAGATATAAAACTCCTTCCAGTCATCCCAGAATTAGGTCCATAGATTTCCAGTTATAGAAGAGAGCCATTCTGGGTAACACAGCAGATGTAAATTATGTGCCTGAATTGATTTTGCATTAATTTCTCGTAGGCTATTTTCATGCTGCTTAAATACCACTTTTTAAAGCCACTATGGTATTGTATTTTAAAAGCTGATTTGTTTCCACCACAGAAAGGGCTTCAGGAGGCAAGAGCTGTTTTTCAAACCCTTCCCCTTGTGCAAAATTACTTTCGCCAGTGAGGAATTTTCAGTAATGAGCTGTCTGTTTGCACAACTCTTCAGTGCATGTTTGCATGCTGCTTCTGTAAGCTTCCTTTTGCAAGACATATCATGAGACACAAACTTCAAGTTTCCTACTCCCTTGAGGGACCAGCCCTGCCACTCATTAGCTTAATATGGAAGCCCAGGGGCTCAGATAATAACACTTTATGTTCTTGCTGTACAGCAGGGCCAGTATGCTTTGTGCTGTGGACTCTTGGCTGTCCTGCTTGATCCAAATGCTTTTGGAAACCATCAGATAAAGGGCAAAAAGACAGTCTGTAAATCTATGGGGTTTTTGGTACAGAAATAGGGCTAGGCTCACATTGAACTCCTGAACATGATATCAAAGCTCTTATTACAACTTTTTATGCATGAACTTTCATATATATAAAACTGGACATCACATAGCAAAGTAATAGCACATCAGCTGTTCCTACCACTAACAGATGGCAGGAGCAGGCAGGGGAACTTCAGCTGAATTTCTTCACTGATGTGGCCATTGTTTGCTATGTTTGGGTGTTTGTTTGTTTTTTGAGACAGGGTCTCACTCTGTCACCCAGGCTGGAGTGCAGTGGCATGATCTCGGCTCACTCCAACCTCCACCTCCCAGGTTCAAGCAATTTTTCTACCTTAGCCTCTTGAGTAGCTGGGACTACAGGTATGTGCCACCACGCCTGGCTGATTTTTTGTATTTTTAGTAGAGACAGGGTTTTGCGATGTTGCCCAGGCTGCTCTCAAACTCCTGGCCTCAAGTGATCCGCCTGCCTTGGCCTCCCAATATTTGGCTTTCCTTTGATTTTACAAATGGCCTGACAAATCAACTCCCTCATCCCCACTTAAGTACTAAGAGTATTGAAAATGCAATTAAAAAGAAGGGTAAATTTTGATGGAAACTACAGTTTTCATAAAAGTGGAAAGAAATGGATGATGAATGGCTCAACAGGACAAAGAGGAAGCTACACAAAATTAAAAATTAAAAAATTATCAGTATAGCTGGAAGACTGGAACTGAAGTTGGATGTCTGTTATCCTGAGGTTAATTCAGGAGAAGGCTCTGGACTAAAAGACAATTGGACTGAGAACTCCCTTTAGGGATGTCACCTATTAAAGAAAGGTAATTTTGTACAAAGCTGCCGCATTTACCGTGAGGCTGCTCATTTTTAGATTCTAGCACCACCTAGAGGACAGAATGAGATAATTTCCATTCACCACTGAACCTAAGGAATCTTTCATCAATTAACCGTTTTTCAGTTTTCAAAACACTTAAATTTTAATATCTGATTTGATATCCAAATAATTGTCTTTGAGGTAGGAATTTCTACCTTTAGTGTACTGATAAAAAATCAATTTTTCCGCTGGCTTACTGTCCAAAGAATTTGATCAGTTTTTTATGTGATCAAAAATTATTATCCATGGATTATTTTTTAAACTTTATTTAGGTACAGTTTATATACTCTAAAATTAACTAATTTAAAGTGTGCAGTTCAATAGTTTTTGGTGAATTTACTGAGTTGTGCAACCATCCCCATAGTCCAGTTTTAGAACATTTTTATCCCCCCAACAAGATTCTTTTTTTTTTTTTTTTTGAGACAGGGTCTTGCTCTGTCACCCAGGATGGAGTGAAGTGGCATGATCTCGGCTCACTGCAACCTCCACCTCCCGGGTTCAAGCAATTCTCCTGCCTCAGCCTCTTGAGTAGCTAGTATTACAGCTAGTAGCTGGTATTACAGGCACCTGCCACCACGCCTGGCTAATTTTTGTATTTTTCAGTAGAGACAGGGTTTCGCCATGTTGGCCAGGCTGGTCTTGAACTCCTGACCTCAGGCGATCCTCTTGTGTTGGCTTTCCAAAGTGCTGGGATTACACTCATGAACCACTGTGCCAGCCAAGAGTCTCTCTTTTTTACAGTTAATCCCCATTCTCACCCAGCCCCATGAAGTCACCAGAGTTTTTTCTGTCTGCATAGATGTGCTTTTTCTTGGAATTTCATATAAATGGAATAATAAAATGTGTGGGGTTTTTTTGCATCTGGCTTCTTCACTTAGCATAATATTTTTGAGGTTTATCTGAGTTGCAGCATTTATCAGTATTTCATTCGTTTTGATTGCTGAGTAGTACTCCCTTGTATTGATATACCAATTATATTTGTCCATTCACCAGTTGATGAACATTTAGGTTGTTTCCAGTTTTTTGCTATTTTGAAAAATATTGCTATGAATATTTGCATGGAAGTTGTTTTTCTAAGTAAGAAACTTTAATTAGTAAACAGGGAAGTGAATAAAACATGTGGAAGAAGGGTGATTATATGAATTATGTGTATTGAGGAGAAAAAAATAGAATAAACAATCAGGAGATGCCTAAGGGAAAGGCATCTGGGTCCTGGGCCCCGGATTCAATGTGTACCCAGGAACCAAGGAGTTCTTGGTATCGTATTCTTCCAGAGACACAGAAGAAGCATGGGGAAAATTATTCAGGATTTGCTCTGATAGTTTAGCAGTATTTGATGACAGTTTTTAAGGTGTTTCTTAATGTTGGATCAATACAATATGTAGCCGATGCAGACCTTGGTAACACATCTGAGGTTGGAGATTGAAGTACCATTATGATCTCTCCCCATCATGAAGATAGAGGTGAAGGGGACATTTCAAAGTGAAAAATAAACTATGTGGTCAGATGCATTTGAGTCCAAATCCAGGCTCTGTTAATATCTATAAGGACTGCAAGGTCAAAGTTCTCATCAGTATCCCTGGAGGCCATGGTACCTATCTCACAAGGCTGTTGTGAGGATTTGCTAAGATGCTTTATGGAAAGCACTTAGCATATGGCCTGGCACACAGTGAGTTCTGATGTTATTTTTGTAAGATTGGATTGTGCTTGACAAACCCAGGAACAGTGACATTGACTTCTGTTATTCCTGAGAACCTTTTACATCATTTCATTGGATGTTTCTGGCCTGAGATTCTGGCAAAAAGAAGTATAAATTTTCTTCAGAGATGATAAAAATGTTTGTGTAAGTGGAACCTCATTAAAAAATATTGCTTGTCACCCAGAATGTTGTAGGCTGGTGGAAAGATTTAGTGCTAATCTCAAGGGAGTGGTTAGGACTTAGGGGGATCCACACTGGACCAATCAGCATGATAGGTTACTAACTCATTTTGCATATAAAAATGTTGTCTAGGACTCTACAGAATTCTCCCTATTAATGGATGACAGTCAGAGGTCCTTGGGTTTAATCAAAATTTAATACCTTGTGAGAGGAAATATGAAGAATACAAATGATCAGTAATAGACAATATGTCAAATGCAGTAATTGCCAATTTTAAAAAGTCTCCTTGTCAGCATATCTACCTTGATTTGTAGTTAGGAACACATGGCCAGAGCTGTATTAAGCCTCTGGGAAAACAAAGGAATGAGATACATATTCTGTTGCAAGAAAATATATCAGAGATTCAACAAAGCCATCATATCTAAAATAATAAAACAGCATGTTTAAAAATATTTAAATCAGGGAATTTCTCCCCCCCCCCCCCCCCATAAAACTGAAGGCTCCTACTTCATCTGGTGCAGGGCAGATGAATCTTCCATGAACTGCTTTTATATTCACCCAAGCAGTATATTAAGAAGGCTGAAGTCAGAATGAGTTCCAGAAATCTTTCTGTTGAGGAAAACCAGAATCTGAGGAAGGAGCAGTTATTAGATGTGCTTGTTTGTCACCAGAAGAATGCAAACAAAGAAATACAGATGAGTTCAGAGTGCTACAGATATCTTAGAGCAAACCAGATAACTATTGACTTGGTGCTATATACTGTAAGGGAATAGCAACCATGTTAGACATTTTGGTATACTGACTTATTGGCTCCAATTTTTATAGCCTTGTAGGCACAGCCATTACCATGTGGCTTTTGAATTCCTCCACTAGAGGCATTGATGTTGGGTTTGAATATTTTGCTTCCTGTGGCCAATAGGATGCGAGCAGAGTGACCATGTACCAGTTCCAGGCTTAATCCTTAAGAAGCATTTGTGTTTTCAGTTGCTGTCTTTGTTTCTGCCGTTGTTATGAGAAGAAAATACTCTGGTCAGCCTGGTGGTCTGAGGAGGAGGAAGAGAGACGCCACATGAAACAGTTCTGGAATCACGCTCAGCCTAGATCAGCTGACCTCTAGCCAACCCACAGATACGCAAGCAAGAATAAGGGATTGCTGTTGAAAGCTGCTGGATTTTGAAATTGTCAAGCGGCATTACTCTGACAATAGGCGGCTGACATAGATGGCTGTTTTATAGGGTTAGTTGAAAAAAAGACTGGGAGAACCTTAATCTAAGGACTATCAGGTCTTCATGGTCACATTTTTTCTGAACAATTGATAGAAAGTTAAATTTTCTACAGAAACAGGAGCATATACTATATCTAAAATTGATAGTCGGATTGTTTGGGAGCACTAACACAACAGGTTTTCCACTGATTTATATAGGGTTGGGAAAGAAACGTGCTCTGATTTTTGTTTTAGCTAATTAATGCTACCTCGTGCCACCCACTCTGAAAAAGCTCTTCTTCTTTTTATACCCATCCTCCTCAAATGTCAGAAGACTGGGAGTGGGACTGCTTGCCAGGTTTTTGTTTTCTTATTTGAAGTCCTCTCTTTGTAAATCTAGCTGGGAATCTCCACACTGTTTTCCATAGTGGTTGTACTAGTTTACATTCCCACCAACAGTGAAAAGTATTCCCTTTTCACCACATCCATGCCAACATCTATTTTATTTTTTAATTTTTTTATTATAGCCATTCTTGCAGGAGTAAGGTGGTCTTACCTTGTGGTTTTCATTTGCATCTTCCTGATCACGAGTGATTCTGAGCATTTTTTCCTATGTTTGTTTGCCATTTGTATATCTTCTTTTGAGAATTGTCTATTCATGTTCTTAGCCCACTTTTCGATAGGATGGTTTGGTTTTTTCTTGCTGATTTGTTTGAGTTCCTTGTGGATTCTGGATATTAGTCCTTTGTCGGATGCATAGTTTGTGAAGATTTTCTCCCATTCTGTGGGTTGTCTGTTTACTCTGATGATTATTTCTTTTGCTGTGCAGAAGCTTTTTAGTTTAATCAAATCCCATCTATTCATCATTGTTTTTGTTGTATTTGCTTTTAGGTTCTTTGTCATGAAGTCTTTGCCTAAGCCAATGTCTAGGAGGGTTTTTCTGATGTTATCTTCTAGAATTTTTATGGTTTCAGGTCTTAGACTTAAGTCGTTGATCCATCTTGAGTTGACTTTTGTATAAGGTGAGAGATGAGGATCCTGTTTCATTCTCCTACATGTGGCTTGCCAATTATCCCAGCACCATTTGTTTTGTGTCCTTTCTCCACTTTATGTCTTTGTTTGCTTTATCGAATATCAGTTGGCTGTAAGTATTTGGCTTTATTTCTGGGTTCTCTATTCTTTTCCATTGTTCTATATGCCTATTTTTATATCACTACCATGCTGTTTTGGTGACTATAGCCTTTTTGTTTTTGTTCTTGTTTTTGAGACCGGGTCTCACTCTGTCACTTAGGATGGAGTGAAGTGGTACGATGTTAGCTCACTGCAATCTCCACCACCCAGGTTCAAGTGATTTTCATGCCTTGGCCACCGGAGTAGCTGGGATTAAAGGCATGTGCCACTATGCCTGGCTAATTTTTGTAATTTTTTTAGTAGAGACAGGGTTTCACCATGTTGGTGAGGCTGGTCTTGAACTCCTGGTCTCAAGCGATCCACCTGCCTCAGCCTCCCAAAGTTCTGGGATTACAGGCATGTGCCACTGTGCCTGGCTGACTATAGCCTTATAATATAGTTTGAAGTTGGGTAATGTGATTCTTCCAGATTTGTTCTTTGTCCTTAGTCTCCCTTTGGCTATGAGGGCTCTTTTTTGGCTCTATATGAATTTTAGGATTCTTTTTTCTAGATCTTTGAAGAATGATGGTGGTATTTTGATGGTAATTGCATTGAATTTGTAAATTGCTTTTGGCAGTATGGTCATTTTCACAATATTGATTCTACCCAACCATGAGCATGGGACGTGTTTCCATTTGTTTGTGTCATTTATGATTTCTTTCAGCAGTGTTTTGTACTTTTCCTTGTAGAGGTTGTTCACCTCCTTGGTAGGTATATTCCTAAGTATTCCTTAAAGAACTAAAAGTAGATTTACCATTCCATCCAGCAATCTCACTACTGGGTATCTACCCAGAGGAAAAAGTCATTATATAAAAAAGATATTTGCACACACGTTTATAGCAGCACAATTCACAATTGCAAAAATATGAAACCAGCCCATGTGAAAATATGGAACCAGCCCAAATGCCCATCATTCAACAAGTGGATAAAGAAAATGTGATATGTGTGTGTGTGTGTGTGTGTGTGTGTGTGTGTGTGTGTGTGTGTACACCCACACATGGAATACTACTCAGCCATAAAAAGGAATGAAAAAATGGCATTCACAGCAACCTGGATGGAATTGGAGACCATTATTCTAAGTGAAGTAACTCAGGACTGGAAAACCCAACATCATATGTTGTCACTCATAAGTGGAAGTGAAGCTATGAGGACACAAAGGCATAAGAATGATACAATGTGCTTTGGAGACTGGAAAGGGTTGGGAGGTGAGATATAAAAGACTACACATTGAGTACAGTGTATACTGCTCAGATGATGGGTGCACCAAAATCTAGAAATCACTACTAAAGAACTATTCCATGTAATCAAACACCACCTGTTCCCCAAAAACCTATTGAAATGAAAAACAAAATAAAATATAAACAAATAACTGGTTTTTTTGCTGCATTAATTTTCATTTGTTAGCCTTGTGGAAGAAGTCTGGAGTACCCCCTAAGAATTGGCAAGGCCTTCTGGCTTACAGCAAGAGGGGAGACAGTGTGAGAGGTAAATAGGCAGCCCAGCAATCCCTGGTAGAGTTGATTGGACACAGGAATTGGGACAAAGACTAAAGCCAGGTCTGAGTTGGAACTCTACCATTCCTAGTTGCTTTGTAAGGCCAGCACTTCCAACTGCTATCCCATATATCTAATTCCATCATCTAATGTAACTAACAGACCCTGTAATTTTGATTCTGAAAGTGTTATAAGAATGTTGGAAAGACAGGAAAACATAAAGAAGAAAAATAAAAGCAGAAATAAGACCGCCACCTAGAGATAAGCTCTCCTAACATTTTGCTATCTGATATGGTTTGGCTCTGTGTCCCTACCCAAATCTCATGTTGAATTTTAATTTCCAATGTTGGGGTAGGGACTTGCTAGGAGGTGATTAGATTATGGAGGCAGATTTCTCCCTTGCTGTTCTCATGATAGTGAGTGAGTTCTCATGCGATCTGATGGTTTAAAAGTGTGTGGCATTTCCCCCTTCACTCTGTCTCTTGCTATGCCATGCAAAAAAGGTGCTTGCTTCCCCTTTGCCCTTCCACCACGATTGTAAGTTTCCTGAGGCCTCCCCAACTATGCTTCCTGTACAGCCTATGGAACTGTGAGTTGGTTAAACCTCTTTTCTTCATAAATTACCCAGCCTCAGGTAGTTCTTTATAACAGTATGAGAATGGACTAATACACTATCTATCTTTAATTCTAATCTTTTTTTTTCTCCTTGGGAAGTATATATTTCTCAAACAAAGTTGATTTTTAAATAAAAGTTATGATTCCCTAAGGTGTATTTTAAAAGGTGGTTAAAAGGCATTCTGTGACAAAAAGAATTCAGTGGTCCACTAATTTGAAAAACACTATATTTTATGTCCCCCTTTCATGGATTAATAATCTCATAATTATATTAAGGTTCTGGAAATATTTATAGTAAAGAAATTTTTAAATCCCAAATTTTATTACCTACAAAACACTAATTTTTTTTATAGAAACCTACTAAAATATTGTGGGACTCCATAGACTACCTACTTGGAAACACTGGTTTAAGATGTTTATCTCTTTTAATTTATCTTGCCTGGTGGTTGGTGAGTCCTTTTCATTTATAGACTCAGATCTTTCTTTGGATTGGGAAAGTTTTCTTCTGTTATTTCTTTGGCTGTGGCTTCTGCTCTTTTTGTAGAATTAATATAATTATATGGGATCTCCTGAAATTTTTGCATATCTCAGCTTCATTTTCATTGTCATCTAATAATTTTTCTCTTTCAAAATTTTCAAGATTATTTTCTACTTGATTAATTTTGTTACCTGCAATCTTTAATCTGTAGAAATACAATTACACATATTTTCAAGAAATGTCTATTTTCAAAAAGGCAGATACAATTTGGGTGGTTTATTTAAGATGCAAATCCATTTTCACTTACTTTCTGTCAGAGTTTTTATTTAGAAATTAAGGTCTAAATGTTTGCTTACTTTTTTAATAGCTTAAAACTTGCATTTAAAGTTTGATATTTTGTTTGGAACTCCCCCTCACTGAATTAGAATAAGAAGTAAAAAACCTAGTAGCAGGGAAGGAAATGAACTCTCCTAGATATTGGGGTCTGTGTGAAGATGCCACATCAGAATGGGAATAAATGTGGCTACCAGAGGAGCCTGCAAAGTTTCTGGATTCTAATGGAAAAGAAGAAACTGCCTTTTGCCTGGAATTTCCTGATGTGGCCCCAAATAGCTATCCATCTCATGCCCTTAGACATGCTTTTCCATACCTGTAAGTTAAATATAAGAAAATTGCAGTGTCAAGTCGACATAGGCATAATTATGTATAAGCATGTATACAATACACAGAGAGTTTATACCACACACAATGTTCCTTCTCGAAAGATACAGTAAGAATCTTTAGTCGGTGTGACTTACAGAAGCATTCCTGTAGAGGGTTCATTTTATTCCCTGCTAAAGAACATTGCTTAGCTCTACTGATTCATTTCTGAGAGTCTTGTGGTGTCCTTGACCCAGCCTGATCTGCCTGGGACGTGGCATCTTTTTATCAGCGCCTTTATTATTCATAGATTTTGTATCTCTGGATACTTCAAGTTTACTTGAAGTACTGTTTTTTAAATTTGATTTCTAAGATAGCTTTGTTTTCTCCAATCTATTCTGCAAAAGTTCCTGCTGTTACGCCACTTGTTACTCCAGAAGTGCATTTTCTCTCCTATGAGTGCTCTTTGCATATCTTTTTTCTTTCTGTCATGACTCCATTTTTGCTGGCTCTGTTCTTTTGCACGGACAGGCTAATTCTGGTAAGGCTCCAATCAGGATTTTGACATAAGGAGTTATTTCTTAATATACACTAGGCTGAAAAAAATGATTTCTCAAAAGTGAAACAATCCCAGCCAGAGCTCACATCATACCAGTGTCACATAGGCTTCATGGGAATTCAAAGTTTCTGGCCATAGGAGAATGAAGGCAATTTTGATGACAGTAGCAGACATAGCTCAGGGTTTACTACTGTCTTGAACCTCAACACCAAAATATTCTTTTCTGAGAATTTAGATGAATGGCACTTATTTTCAAAATGTTTGCTTTCTTCTTCAAAGAAACACGATATTTCAGAGTAAAGTTTAAAGTGAAACACTTTCTAGGAACAAAATAGCTCGCTGGTGCTTAACTGTTATAACCTCCTATAAGCTAAATATTTGCCTTTGTATAGTTCTAATTATCTTTGTCTCTCTTCCAGTCCCTGGATACCCAGATGCCCTTCATAGCTTTAGGCTCAGGTGCTTCATTCTACTCTTTGATCACTTTTAAGATAGGGTTACTAGATAAAATACAGAATGCCCAGTTCAATTTGAATTTTATAGAAACAATGAATAATTTTTTTAGTGTAAGTACGTCTTATACTTTAGGATAAGTATGCATGAGGAATACTTTTTACTAAAACAAGATCCATTATGAAATTTGACAAAAGAAGCACAAAACTTAAATTATGAAAACTACCCAACATTGCTGAAAGAAATTTAAGATCTAAATAAATAGAAAGACATCCCTTGGTCATAGATGAGAAGATTAAATATTGTTAAGACAGCTATACTCTCCAAACTGATCTATAGATTCAATGCAATCTGTATTAGAACACCAGCTGGTTCTTTGCAGAAATTGACAAGCTGTTCTAAAAATTCATATGGAAACTCAAAGAACTCAGAATAGCCCAAACTTTTTTGTTCTTGGAAAAAAAGAACAAACTGGAGGACTCACTTCCCACTTTTGAAACTTAATACAAAGCAACAGTAATCAAGACAATATGATATTGGTATAAGGATAGACATAGATTAATGGAAAATAATTAAAAGTTCGGAAATAAACTCATGTATCTATGGCAATTGATTTTCAACAAGACTGCAAAAACAATTCAATGGGAGAAAGTATCGTATTTTCAACAAATGATGCTGAGACAATAGGATCGCCATATGCTGAGGAATAAAGTTGGACTCTTAACTCACACTGTATATAAAAATTAACTCAAAATGGATCAAAGACTTAAGTGTAGGAGCCAAAATTATAAAACTCTTAGAAAAAATATTGAGATAAACTATTGTGACCTTTGATTTGCCAATGGATTCTCAGATATGACACCAAAAGCACAATGAACAACAACAAAAAGATAAATTGAACTTCATTAAAACTAAAAAATTTTGTCCTACAAAGGACACTATGAAGAAAGTGAAAAGGCAACCCACAGAATAAGGGAAAATATTTGCAAATTATGTATCTGACAAGGGACACATATCTAGAATATATAAAGAACTCTTGCAACTCAAAAATAAAAAGACAAACCAATTAAAAAATTACCAAATGTCTGAAAAGACATTTCTCCAAAGAAGATAAACAAATGACCGATAAACGTATTAAAAGATGCTCAACATCATTAGTCATCAGGAAAATGCAAATGAGGGTGACTCTCTTTTTGGACTTAGCCCGCCTGCACCCAGGTGAAATAAACAGCCATGTTGCTCACACAAAGCCTGTTTGGTGGTCTCTTCACACCGACGCATATGAAATTTGGTGCTGTGACTCAGATCGGGGGACCTCCCTTGGGAGATCAATCCCCTGTCCTCCTGTTCTTTGCTCCGTGAGAAAGATCCACCTACGACCTCAGGTCCTCAGACCCACCAGCCCAAGGAACATCTCACCAATTTTAAATCAGGTAAGCGGCCTCTTCTTACTTTCTTCTCCAACCTCTCTCACTGTCCCTCAACCACTTTCTCCTTTCCACTCTTCAATCTCTCCCTTCTCTTAATTTCAATTCCTTTCATTTTCTGGGAGAGACAAAGGAGACACGTTTTATCCGTGGACCCAAAACTCCGGCGCCAGTCACAGACTGGGAAGGCAGCCTTCCCTTGGTGTTTAATCATTGCAGGGACACCTCTCTGATTATACACCCACGTTTCAAGGGTGTCAGACCACGCAGGGACGCCTGCCTTGTTCCTTCACCCTTAGCGGCAAGTCCCGCTTTTCTGGGGAAGGGGCAAGTACCTCAACCCCTTCTCTCCTTGTCTCTACCCCTTTTCTGCTTTCCTGGGGCAGGGGCAAGTACCCCTCAACCCCTTCTCCTTCACCCTTAGCGGCAAGTCCCGCTTTCCTGGGGAAGGGGCAAGTACCCCTCAACCCCTTCTCTTTCACCCTTAGTGGCAAGTCCTGCTTTTCTAGGGGGCAAGAATCCCCAATCGCTTATTTCTGCACCCCAACCTCGTATCTCTGTGCCCCGACCCCTTATTTCTGTGCCCCAACCCCTTATTTCTGAGTCCCATCCCTTATTTCCGTGCCCCGACCTCTTATCTCTGCGCCCCAACCCCTTTTCCCACTTTTCTGGAAGGTAAGAACCCCCGAACCCCTTCCCTCCATTTCTCTACTCTCTCTTTTCTCTAGGCTTGCTTCCTTCACTATAGGCAACCTTCCACCCTCCATTCCTCCTTCTACTCCCTTGGCCTGTGTTCTCAAAAACTTAAAACCTCTTCAACTCACACCTGACCTAAAACCTAAATGCATTTTCTTCTGCAATGCCGCTTGACCCCAATACAAACTCGACAGTAGTTCCAAATAGCCAGAAAATGGCACTTTAAATTTTTCCATCCTGCAAAATCTAAATAATTCTTGTCGTAAAATAGGCAAACGGTCTGAGGTGCCTGACGTCCAGGCATTCTTTTACACATCAGTCCCTTCCTGGTCTCTGTGCCCAGTGCAACTCATCCCAAATCTTCCCTCTTTCCCTCCCGCCTGTCCCCTCAGTACCAACCCCAAGCATCACTGAGTCTTTCTAATCTTCCTTTTTTACAGACCCATCTGACCTCTCCCCTCCTCCCCAGGCTGCTCCTCGCCAGGCCGAGCTAGGTCCCAATTCTTCCTCAGCCTCTGCTCCTCCACCCTATAATCTTTTTATCACCTCCCCTCCTCACACCTGGTCCGGCTTACAGTTTCGTTCCGAGACTAGCCCTCCCCCACCTGCCCAGCAATTTACTCTTAAAAAGATGGCTGGAGCCAAAGGCATAGTCAAGGTTAATGCTCCTTTTTCTTTATCCCAAATCAGATAGCGTTTAGGCTTTTTCATCAAATATAAAAACCCAGCCCAGTTCATTGCTCGTTTGGCAGCAACCCTGAGACGCTTTACGGCCCTAGACCCTAAAAGGTCAAAAGGCCGTCTTATTCCCAATATACATTTTATTACCCAGTCTGCTCCTGACATTAAATAAAACTCCAAAAATTGGAATCTGGCCCTCAAACCCCACAACAGGACTTAATTAACCTCACCTTCAAGGTGTACAATAACAGAAAAAAGTTGCAATTCCTTGCCTCCACTGTGAGACAAACCCCAGCCACATCTCCAGCACACAAGAACTTCCAAACGCCTGAACCACAGAAGCCAGGCGTTCCTCCAGAACCTCCTCCCCCAGGAGCTTGCTACACGTGCCGGAAATCTGGCCACTGGGCCAAGGAATGCCCGCAGCCCGGGATTCCTCCTAAGCTGCGTCCCATCTGTGTGGGACCCCACTGAAAATCAGACTGTTCAACTCACCTGGCAGCCACTCCCAGAGCCCCTGGAACTCTGGCCCAAGGCTCTCTGACTGACTTCTTCCCAGATCTTCTCAGCTTAGCGGCTGAAGACTGACACTGCCCGATCGCCTCGGAAGCCCCCTAGACCATCACGGATGCCGAGCTTCGGGTAACTCTCACAGTGGAAGGTAAGCCCGTCCCCTTCTTAATCAATACGGAGGCTACCCACTCCACATTACCTTCTTTTCAAGGGCCTGTTTCCCTTGCCTCCATAACTGTTGTGGGTATTGACGGCCAGGCTTTTAAACCTCTTAAAACTCCCCAACTCTAGTGCCAACTTAGACAATACTCCTTTAAGCACTCCTTTTTAGTTATCCCCACCTGCCCAGTTCCCTTATTAGGCCGAGACACTTTAACTAAATTATCTGCTTCCCTGACTATTCCTGGACTATAGCCACATCTCATTGCCACCCTTCTCCCCAACCCAAAGCCTCCTTCGCATCTTCCTCTCATATCCCCCCACCTTAACCCACAAGTATGGGACATCTCTACTCCTTCCCTGGCAACCGATCACATGCCCATTACCATCCCATTAAAACCTAATCACCCTTACCCCACTCAACGCCAATATCCCATCCCGCAGCACGCTTTAAAAGGATTAAAGCCTGTTATCACTCGCCTGCTACAGCATGGGCTTCTAAAACATATAAACTCTCCTTACCATTCCCCCATTTTACCTGTCCTAAAACCAGACAAGGCTTACAAGTTAGTTCAGAATCTGCGCCTTATCAACCAAATTGTTTTGCCTATCCACCCTGTGGTGCCAAACCCATATACTCTCCTATCCTCGATACCTCTCTCTACTACCCATTATTCTGTTCTGGATCTCAAACATGCTTTCTTTACTATTCCTTTGCACCCTTCATCCCAGCCTCTCTTTGCCTTCACTTAGACTGACCCTGACACCCATTAGGCTCAGCAAATTACCTGGGCTGTACTGCCGCAAGGCTTCACAGACAGCCCCCATTACTTCAGTCAAGCCCAAATTTCATCTTCATCTGTTACCTATCTCGGCATAATTCTCATAAAAACACATGTGCTCTCCCTGCTGATCGTGTCCGATTAATCTCCCAAACCTCAATCCCTTACAAAAGAACAACTCCTTTCCTTCCTAGGCATGGTTAGTGCGGTCAGAATTCTTACACAAGAGCCAGGACCACACCGTGTAGCCTTTCTGTCCAAACAACTTGACCTTACTGTTTTAGCCTAGCCCTCATGTCTGCGTGCAGCAGCTGCCACTGCTTTAATACTGTTAGAGGCCCTAAAAATCACAAACTATGCTCAACTCACTCTCTACATTTCTCATAACTTCCAAAATCTATTTTCTTCCTCATACCTGATGCATATACTTTCTGCTCCCTGGCTCTTTCAGCTGTACTCACTCTTTAAGTCCCACAATTACCATTGTTTCTGGCCCGGACTTCAATCTGGCCTCCCACATTATTCCTGATACCACACCTGACCCCCATGACTGTATCTCTCTGATCCACCTGATATTCACCCCATTTCCCCATATTTCCTTCTTTCCTGTTCCTCACCCTGATCACGCTTGATTTATTGATGGCAGTTCCACCAGACCCAATCGCCACACTCCAGCAAAGGCAGGCTGTGCTATAGTACAAGCCACTAGCCCGCCTCTCAGAACCTCTCATTTCCTTTCCATCGTGGAAATCTATCCTCAAGGAAATAACTTCTCAGTGTTCCACCTGCTATTCTACTACTCCTCAGGGATTATTCACGCCCCCTCCCTTCCCTACACATCAAGCTCGAGGATTTGCCCCCACCCAGGACTGGCAAATTAGCTTTACTCAACATGTCCCGAGTCAGGAAACTAAACTATTAGACCTCTTAGTCTAAATAGACACTTTCACTGAATAAGTAAAGGCCTTTCCTACAGGGTCTGAGAAGGCCACCACAGTCATTTCTTCCCTTCTGTCAGACATAATTCCTCAGTTTAGCCTTCCCACCTCTATACAGTCTGATAACAGACCAGCCTTTATTAGTCAAATCAGCCAAGCAGTTTTTCAGGCTCTTAGTATTCAGTGAAACCTTTATATCCCTTACGGTCCTCCGTCTTCAAGAAAAGTAGAACGGACTAAAGGTCTTTTAAAAACACACCTCACCAAGCTCAGCCACCAACTTAAAAAGGACTGGACAATACTTTTACCACTTTCTCTTCTCAGAATTCAGGCCTGTCCTCAGAATGCTACAAGGTGTACAGGAGCCCATTTAAGCTCCTGTATAGATGCTCCTTTTTATTAGGCCCCAGTCTCATTCGACACCAGACCAACTTAGACTGTGCCCCCAAAAAAACTTGTCATCCCTACTATCTTTTGTCTAGTCATACTCCTATTCACCATTCTCAACTACTCGTACATGCCCTGCTCTTGTTTACACTGCCAGTTTACACTGTTTCTCCAAGCCATCACAGCTGATATCTCCTGGTGCTATCCCCAAACTGTCACTCTAAACTCTTGAAGTAAATAAATAATCTTTGCTGGCAGGGCTATGCTGAGTCTCCTTAGGCACTCTCTAATCAGATGTCCTGGGTCCTCCCAATTCTTAGACCTTTTATACCTGTTTTTCTCCTTCTCTTATTCCATTTAGTTTTTCAATTCATACAAAACTGTATCCAGGCCATCACCAATAATTCTACACGACAAATGTTTCTTCTAACAACCCCACGACATCACCCCTTACCACAAAATCTTCCTTCAGCTTAATCTCTCCCACTCTAGGTTCCCACGCCGCCCCTAATCCCGCTTGAAGCAGCCCTGAGAAACATCGCCCATTCTCTCTCCACACCACCCCCAAAAAATTTTCGCCGCCCCAACACTTCAACACTATTTTGTTTTATTTTTCTTATTAATATAAGAAGGCAGGAAAGTCAGGCCTCTGAGCCCAAGCCAAGCCATCTCATCCCCTGTGACTTGCATGTATATGCCCAGATGGCCTGAAGTAACTGAAGAATCACAAAAGTAGTGGAAAGGCCCTGCCCCGCCTTAACTGATGACATTCCACCATTGTGATTTGTTCCTGCCCCACCTTAACTGAGTGATTAACCCTGTGAATTTCCTACTCCTGGCTCAGAAGCTCCCCCACTGAGCACCTTGTGACCCCCGCCCCTGCCCACCAGAGAACAACCCCCTTTGACTGTAATTTTCCATTACCTTCCCAAATCCTATAAAACGGCCCCACCCCTCTCTCCCTTCACTGACTCTCTTTTCGGACTCAGCCCGCCTGCACCCAGGTGAAATAAACAGCCATGTTGCTCACACAAAGCCTGTTTGGTGGTCTCTTCACACCGACGCGCATGAAAGTCTCGATCTCCTGGCCTCATGATCCGCCCGCCTTGGCCTCCCAAGGTGCTGGGATTGCAGGCGTGAGCCACTGTGCCCGGCCAACACTCTCTTAAATTAATCACTTTGAATAGTAAAGTAAAAAAAAAAAAAAAAAAATCACCAGCTCATATTAAAAAGCCATTTATGGGCCGGGCACGGTGGCTCATGCCTGTGGTCCTGGGATTTTGGGAGGCCGAGATGGGCGGATCACGAGGTCAAGAGATCGAGACCATCCTGGCCAACACGGTGAAGCCCCGTGTCTACTAAAAATACAAAAATTAACCAGGTGTGGTGGCGCGTGCCTGTAGTCTCAGCTACTCTGGAGGCTGAGGCAGGAGAATCGCTTGAACCCAGGAGGTGGAGGTTGCAGTGAGCCAAGATCACACCACTGCACTCCAGCCTGGTGACAGAGCGAGATTCCGTCTCAAAAAAAAAAAAAAAAAAAACTCATTCATAATCCGACCTTTACCTCCTTTACCTAAATATGTTCAGCTTCACCTGTCCCTCATTCCAGCCTCTTATTTCTCAGCTTTACTGAACTTATATCAATATTTCTCAGAGATGAATGAATTTTCATGCTTTCATGTCTTTTTTCTTCTCACCCAGAATGCTCCTTATTTTCTCTCCGAGTCGTGGACTCTATGCCTGCTCATGTGTCAAGACGTAGCTCAACTTCCAACTTCACTAAAATTATCAACCTCACGGTGGGTTCTCAGCTAGAGTTAGGCCTTCCCATAGCTCTAAATCTCTAGCACTTAACAGACAACATTTTAGGTAGTTGGTTTTGCATTCATTGTCTTTATTGGAGTGAAAGCTTTCTAAAGAAAAGGAAGGTACCTAAATATTTAACAGATGTATCAATACCTAAGACTAGACTATGCAAGTGGCTCTCCTGGGTGAATTAATAAATACTCAAATAAATACTTGAATGAAGAGAAGAGCCAAGGAGCACCCACGCCAGAATATTCAAGAAAAGTATTTGATAAGATCATTTTGCAAGAGTTTATGAGGTATATCCAGGAAACACATATTAAATGCTATTTGACCACAGATTCCATAAAATTATGCAGAGAACAAAAGAATTATAGATCGAGAACTTCTCCAACAGTTTCTGATGATCTGGTGAAGAAATCAATGTCCACGGTCATGAAATAATAAAAAAGAATTCAATATATGACAATTATGAAATTAATTATGAAATTAATAAAATCTTATTAAATTATGAAATTAAAAAAAAAAAGAAAATGCAAATGAAAACCCCAGTAAAATACTACCTCACGCACTCTAGGAAGTCTATAATAAAAAAGTCAGTAAATGTTGGTGAGGATATAGAAGCCTCATACATGCTTATGGGAATGTAAAAAGGTCCTCAAAAAATTAAAGATAGAGTTATCAAATGATATAGCAATTCCACATCAGTGTATACCTAAGAGAAATGAAAACATGTCTATGCAAAGACTTGTATAGAAATGAGCATAATGGCATTACTTATAATACCTAATGTGTGTAAACAGCTCAAATGTCCATCAACTGATGAATGGATGAACATTTGTATTTCCATGCAATGAAATATTACTCAGCTATAAAATTGAATGAAGCATTGATACATGCCACAACATGGATGAATCTTGAAACATTATGCTAGTCATAAAATATCACATATTATATGATTCCATTTATATGAATTGTCCAGAAAAGACAAATCTATAAATGATAGAAAATAGATTAGTGGTTGTCTAGGGCTGGGTAGGGAGTGGAGATGAATGTTTGGGGGTTGATAGCTAACGAATATGGGTTTTCTGTTTGAGGAGATGAAAGTGTCCTAAAATTTACCATCATGATGGCTGCACATATCTATTAGTATACTAAATATCATTCCATTGTACACTATAAATAGATAAATCATGTGGTATATGATTATATATAAATAAAGCTGTTACAAAATCATATACTCATTTGAAATTCAAATTTAACTGGGGGTCCTGTATTTTTATGTGTTAAAGCTGGCAACTGTATTTTAAGAGAAAAGTGCTAATCACCCTTAGCAAGTACAATTCCCTTTTTCTCAGTGCTGCCACTCTTCTGTCTTCTTTATCCCAGAGGAACTCCTCTGCACTCCTCCAGTCATATTTGTCTTGCTGTCAGAACAACCTGCTCTTCCTATCCTTGGTGGCTAGATCAG